>NC_000003.12:86373636-86676666 GCF_000001405.40 Homo sapiens | reverse complement strand
AGGAACAGAAAACCAAATACCACATGTTCTCACTTATAAGTGGGAGCTAAACATTGAGCACACATGGACATAAACATGGGAATAAGACACTGATGACTCCTGGGGAGAGAGGGAGGTAGAGGTCTGTGGGTTGAAACACTACCTATTGGGTGCTACATGGGTATTGGGATCTGCACCCCAAACCTGAACATCATACAATATACCCATGTAACAAACCTGAACTTGTACCCCCTGTATCTAAAATAAAAGTTGAAAATAAAAGAGAAAGGGTGGTACATATGCATAATAGAATATGATCCAGCCACAGAAAACAATGAGATCCTGTCATTTGCAACAACGTGGATGGAAGTGGAGTACACTGTGTTAAGTGAAATAAGCCAGGCACACAAAGGTAATCTTTGCATGTTATCACTCATATGTGGAAGTTAAAAATTAAAACAATTGAACTCATGGAGATAGAGAGTAGAATGATGATTACCAGAAGCAGGAAATGCTAGTGGGCTGAAGTGGAGAGAAGCAGGAATAGTTAATGGATGTATTCATCTGTTCTCACATTGCTATAAGTTCCCAGTAAGTTCCTCATTTCCATCTGAGACTTCATCAGCCTGGCCATCTCTGTCCATATCACTGTCAGCATTTTGGTCACAACTATTGAACAAGTGTCTAGGAAGTTCCAAACTTTTCCTCATCTTCCTATCTTCTTCTGAGCCTTCCACACTCTTCCAATCTCTGCCTGATACCCAGCTCCAAAGTCACTTCCATATTTTCAAGTATCTTTATAACAATACCCTGCCCCTAGTACCAATTTTCTGTATTAGTCCGTTCTTGCATTGCTGTAAAGAAATGCAAGGTTTGATTGTTTCATGCTGTATGTTTCCTTAGGCAGTGCAGAAATCATGATGGCTTCTGGGGAGGCCTCAGGAAATTTTCAATCACGGTGGAAGGCAAAGGAGTAGCATGCATGTCTTACCTGGCTGGAGAAGGAGGAAGAGTCGAGAGCAGGGAGATGCTACACACTTTTAACCTATCAGATCTTGTGAGAGCTCTATCATGAGAATAGTGCTAGGGGGATGGTGGTAAACCCTTAGAAACTGCCCCCATAATCCAATTACCTCCCACCAGGCTCCACCTCCAGCACTGGGGATTACATTTAAACATGAGATTTGGGTGGGGACACAGATTCAAACAATACCAATGGCTATAAATATATAGTTAAAACAAAAAAGTAATATCTAGTATTTAATAATACAGTGGGGTGACTATAGTCAACAATAATTTATTGTACCTTTAAAAATAACTAGAAGAGTATAATTGGAATGATTGTAACACAAATAATAAAGGCTTGAGGTGATGGGTATCCCATTTATCCTGATGTTATTACACATTGCATGCCTGTAACAAAATATCTCATATACCAATACATATATGCACTTCTATGTACACATAAAAATAAATTTAAAAGTATATACATGATTTTTTCAGGATATAAACAACGTTGCATAATTTTCAACTTAATTCATGAGACAAGTATAACCAATAACAGAACCTGATGAGGACATTACAAGAAAGAAAAACATAGACCAATCTGTCTCATAATATGAAGCGAAAAATCCAAAAGACGATACTGAGGAGCTAAATCTAGAAACATTTTTTAAAAACATGTTTAAAAATACTATTTTATTTTCTATTGCTATCCATAATGATGTGGATTAATCTCACAAATGTATTGAGAAAAAGAGGACATAAAATTAAATAATACATACTGTGTAGTTTATGTATGATATAAACACAGAGAAAGCCTATCTGTGGCTTTTAATGTCAGATTTTTTATAACCACTATGAAGAAGTAGAAAATAATGATTGAAAGAAATCACAAAGGGACTTTTAGAAATATGGTAAATTTTGTTACTGGCCTGGGGTAGTGGTTACATAAATGTGAACAATGCTATGCTATATTACACATTACTTAAAATACTTTAAAAATTAAATTAAGAAATATAAGTACTGTTTGCCTAGAAAACCTGGCAAGCATTTACTTCCATTGAAGAGAAAGTGAGTCAAATGTTATATGACATTGCTGCGAGGTAGTGCATTAAGACAAATGTTTTTTGAGAAAAAAATCAGTTCAGGAATATATTGAAGTGATGGATTTAAATAAGTTGTTCTTAAGATGATGTTCTAGTATCCCCCCAAAAAAATGTTCCTTAGGCTGTTGGAGATTGGCACCAAAATAAGAACTTAAACATGCTTTTTATAGGTGGCATGTGAAAAAGTATATAAGTAAAAGCTGAGAAAGTATACTTTTGAATCCTTCCTCTAGGGCAGAAAAGGAAAGCAAGTCAGCAAAGGAACCATTTCTTGAAATCAAATTAAAAGTAAAACAACTATAATTTATTACTCTTTACTTAAACTCTAAGTTGCTAACCAACTAATGAAGTTTGGGTTGAGAGTTTCTCAGTGGAATGTGGGCTGTGTACATTGGAAGATATCAAATGACATGAGTCCTGTGTTCTGCTTGCCCAGTGACTGGTCCTGGCAGTGAGTAGCATGGATTTTAGAGAAAAAATACAGATTATTTGTCATCCCAGAAGACTTCTTGGAAGACTAAGGAATTATTTGAAAGGAGTACTATTAAATATATAAGAAGAATTCTAAGATCATGCAGATGATGTTCTGCTAAATTTTGTTTGTGGGGCAGTAAGTGGTACAATCATACTAGTGAACATAGTTCATATTAAGAACAGTGGGAAATTAAGTTTGCAAAAGACTATTAAAAATAGATGCTGGAATATTCTAGTTTTAGCAGTTCTCTGTCTTGCCAGCCTCATGTATTATTTTAGTAAAAATATCAATTGCTTATTGAATGGTGGGCACAGTGGAACCCACTTTTGCAAAAGTGTCTTTTTTTAACATAAAGCAGAATTATTAATTCTTTTTATCACTTTCCTTCCATATATCATACTGGATATTACTTATTTTCTCACTAGACTCTCATAGATCTTGTCTGTCTTCAGGGTACAGTGGGGAAAGATGGTGTGGAAGAAAATAAAAGAAAATAACAACCTTTCTTTATAAGTTTCATGCTCCCAGGACTAAAATCTCCTCTCTGTAGAAAGTCTGCTTTCATGGAGGGGGATTAGAGCAAACCTTTCATCTTCCAGAGCTCCATGGGCTGCATCCCCTGCTTTCAGGGTCTTAATGTTATTGGCATCTGTTGTGTTCTGGTCACTGGTTATATTTGTCCAAATATCCACCTAGAATCAGTAGTTTTTCAAGGGATTTTAAAAATTTCTTCTCAACTGTCTCCACCTACCAATTTTTTTTAAAAGATCACTTATCAAGATTATTTTAAAACTCTGTCTCATTTTTCTAAATATTATCTCTGGACCTCTAGCTGAAAGATCAGAGTACAAAAAGGCCTTCATGATTGTCTTCACATTTTCTCCCAGCTTCTTTGAACACCCTCCTTGTATGAATAGGATTGACGTTTATCTAAAATCACTGCAACAGAGGGATGCTGAAAAGCTTTCTAAATTTAGATACCTTTGTTTGTTTATTTTATTTGGCAAATAAAAGAAGAGAAGAAATGGAAAGATCATCCTTATTTGCTAACACCCACAATAGTCATTTTGTTTCTCAAAAGTGGAGGTCTATTTAATAACGTTTTCTGTGGAGTGACTCTACAGCCCTGCTATCATTGCAGAAGTCTGATGTATATGACACTTAACTCCAAATTTGAGATCAAATATATTAAAAGTTTAAACTGTAGCCCTCTCAATAAACATGTTGAACTAATCCACACTGCAGTGGCCTCTCTTTTTCTCAAAAAAGCAAAATGTGAGTATAGACACCAAACGTAAGTCAGTTTTTCATCTTTGAGCTCATTCTCATTGTTTAATACAATCAATAGTGATTCTGAGGGATAGCATACCCATTAAATTGCTGATGATACCATTTTCTGGACAGGTGAAATGTAGTAGATAATATTTCAACAACGATAACAAAAAATGTTACAATGAAATTAAATTCAGTAAAATGAAGATAAGTTTTTTAAATGTAAGTATTATTTAATGGTATAAGTTTAAGTCAATGCTCTCAAAGAGAAGAAAACCAATAATGGGAACCAGTAGATACCACAAGCATGCTGCATGGCAAGATCGACGTGAGTATTTGTTTTTCCTTTTTTTCATTTATTCACTCATTCAATGTATGTAGCTAGGAAAGATCATTAAATTGAAGCTTGTTTTACCAAAATACCAGGGTTTGGTCTAGGTACTGCTGCTCCCTGCACAGAAAGCCAATGACTGAGACAGGTGCTGCAGCTGAGGAGATGGGAGCTCAGCCTCAAATCCATCTCTCTGACTGACTAAAACTAGGGGTTTATATAGCATGGAAGAAATGTAACAATGTGTAAGAAAACAAAAGCTGGGGGACTGGGGGAAAGGAGGGATCTGGTGCTCTGATCTTGTGCAACTCAGTAGTTGGCCAATCATTCAGAGTTATTTTTCACCATTTTAAAGCATTTTATTTTAAACTCAAAGCAATCTGGGAAAACGGAAAGGTATTAAGAATCATCACTGTTTCTGGCTTGAGTTACTGTAATCACTTACTAACATACTCAGGACAGAGTAATACATTTAAATACCCACTCCTGGACATGCTGTGCTATTTGAGAATATTCAATAGACCATCAGTCTAAAGCCCCTGTGCATCCTTCTGTGAAAATACTGCACAGTAATTATCTTGTCACATGTCTTTCCTTACCATGAACCTCTTGAGGGAGATTATCTAACCAGCATATTGCTGGCATCTACCTCCATGTCTGACACATGGTAGTTGCTCAAACTTAATAATAAATTTAAAGATGATTAACATTTGACTTAGAGAAATTGATTTAATACCTTTAACATTTTTTTCCAAACTATAACTGCACAACTCAGATTGTTGATAACCAAACTTTGATCCCTGGATCAGCAGCATCGGCATTACCTGGGAACTTGCTAAGAAAAGCAAGTACTTGGGCCTTATACTAGACCTACTGGTTCAGAAACTCTGGGGGAGTGCCCAGTGACCTGTGTTTTAATAAGCCCTCCAAGTGATTCTGATGCCCACTGAGGTTCCAGACCACTCTTTATACAATAGATGTCTCTGTACGGAATGAGTTGGTTTTACAACATAATTGGGCCACAGATATAAAACTGCAGCATATTACTGATAAGATAACAACTTGTTTTTCATTATTCTTCAAGGTATGGGTATGGTTTACACTTCTGCTGGTGCTAACTGGGATGTTTTCTGTGGATTCCATAAGAAATATTTTTTATATGTATGTTTTAAATTTGCAAGTTCACTTAATGTAACTTTGCAAGTTGACTTAATTTATTTGCCCACTTCCATTATTCTTTATAAGACATCAGGCTGAGTTCAACAACTGATAAAGATTCAGAAGCCAGAAACTTAACTCAGTACTTTATCGACTTATCTATGCAAATGATGGAGAAATTTGTTATAGAACAGTTTTAGAGCTATTAATTAGCAACAACATTCAGATAAAGAATGAGAAATGACAATTATGAACTCAGGAAATAGAAGAAAACACAGTCTGCTTTATTGATTCAGGCATTTCTTTGCCATCCGGATCAGTGGGTCAGGCGTAACATAAATTATAACAATAATTTTATTTTTCCATAACTGGTTATCAGTATTTATGGGTTTCAATTGCTTCCTTTGTTTGTTTTCTTATTCACAAATTTGTTCTGGCTTCTTGTCCTCTTGTTTAGAAAGGTAAATGCATTAAGAGCAAATTGACAGAACAGTGTCACATTGAATACAGTGGTCACTATCCTGTTACTAATTCCTGTTTCACAACGATCAATTAGATAATTTTACACTGGAAAGCCTTTTCAAAATATAATCAATAAACTGTTTTAGGCTTCTGTCGCTACTGAAAAATATAAATCAAACCAAACCAAACAAGAACAGAAACAGAAGCCTTTATTCTCCATGTCAGTATATACTTATTTAAAATATATCAAACTATGTTGCTCTCAATTAGATTTTCTTTCTTGCTCAAATAATAAGGAATTATAAGATATAGTCACTCGCAAATCATCTGGATAGACTCAAAGCATCTTGGAATGGAAAATATTATACATTTTTTCTTTGTTTCTTCTATATTTTCTTCATGAGTTATTTGAAATCCAGAGACAGTAAGTGACTTTTCTGAGGATAGTTAGTTTGTGACAGAATCTTAAGTAGAAAACAAGTGTATTTACTTAAGTTTAGTGCTGGTAAAGGGAATATTTATTAACTTGAATATATATATGTATATAAATATATGCTTAATTTATATAAACATCTAGGTAACATTTAAGACACTGTAGATAACAGAGGAAAATTGGGAAGTCATTTTTAAATGTTGGATAATTTGATAATTTTTATAAGTATTTCTAAGGTTTTAGTTATATTTCCAATTTTCTATTTTTTTTAAATCTATATTAGAGGTGAAAGTTAAGAAGACCAAAAAGGAAGAAATAGCTCAGAATATGATGTTTCACTTCTGTTTGTAGTAATGAGTCAGTTAATTAAATATGGTAACAGACTTTCAAAAAGGAAAATAGTGATCTACTCAAATATTCTTTATATTTAGAAAGGTTATATTATTCCTTCAAAAATATGTATAAAATCCTAAGAAGTTCCAAGTACTATTTGTGGTGGTGAAGATATAGAAGCCAATAAAACAGAGACAAATTCCTGCCCCAAGGAAACTTGGAGTCTAGTGGAGGAAGCAGGATAACAGACAAAGGCATCGGGAGGATGCATAGTGTATAACACGGTAATAGATAGAAAAATTAAGACAGAATAATAATAATAGGAAGAACAGGAATAATATAGGATATATTTGAAATAAAATGGCCAAGATGATACTTGGAAAACACCTAAAATAATTATGAGAGCAAACAACATGTATTTCTGGGATAAACGTGTATTACAAAGAAAAGCAAGCACAAAGGCCCTCGAGCAGGAGTAGGCCTGGAGAGTTCAAGGGGCAGAAAGGAGGCTAATGTATTAATAGGAAAAGAAACCAAATGGAAATTCTGAAGTTCCAATATATAATGACTGAAACAATAACTGCACTAGAGGAATTAATGATAGATTCGAAGTGAAAAGTTAAAAAAATCAGCAAACTTGATTATAGATCAACAAAATTCATGCAATCTAAAAAACAGTGTAAAATGAATAAAAAATAAATAAACAGTGCCTCAAACAAATATGGAATACCATTAAGTACATTAATGTACATATGAAAGGATTACTAGAAAAAAAAGAAAAGAAACATGAAGAAAGAAGGCCAGAGAAATAATGCTTGAAAACTTTCCAAATTTGCTGAGAAACATTATGTAAATGTTATACTGTAAATATACTCAAAAAGCTCAACGAAATTAAGGTAGATTAAAATCAAAGATTAATTCTCAGAATATCACAGTACAATTGTTTTATGCCAAAGACAAAGAAAATTTCAAAAGAACAAGAGTAAAATGACTCACTGTGTACAAGAGAACCACAATAAGACTAACAACTAACTTCTCATGAAAAACAAAGCAGATCAGAATGCAGAGAGCTAATACAATCAAAATCCTGACACAAACAACAAAAAAGTCCATCAATCTCATGTTCATCAAATCTGCATTTCAAAATTAAAGAGAAAATAAATTACCAGATAAATAAGAAGTGCGGGAAGTTGTTGTTCATAACCAGTGCAGAGGAAGCCAGAGGGAGAGATGAGAGATTCAATCCATTACTGCCTTTCACATATTCCCCTTCTTGAATTTCCTATTTCCCATTGATAAGGTAGACAGGAACACCTCAAAAGGTATAAAGTACTTTGGAGAGCAGGCATGGTTTCAGGAAGTTTCCCATATTCACCAGACTCTCAGAGTTGGCCTAGAAAATCCCCTAGGGTTATTTGCTATCTAAGCCACATCATTTTGCTCCTACCAAATGCTATTCCAGAGTAGAATTTCTGGACCAGTTTTCAGAATTCCATTTCAGAATGCCAGATATCACCAAAGATACAGTCAGTGGATCAAGAGTAGATAGCCTCCTTAGATAAGCTGGCTGCTGACTATATTAAAAAAAAAAAAAAAAAAAGACTTGGCTGCAAAGTCTGTCTTGTTTTACAGTTGAATCTGGAATGAAACCTCAGAGGATTTAAAACTGGATAAAATGCAGAAAATTAAAATGTTATTTGAGATTTGGCAAAAATGTTGGAACTTTTATATTATTTCAAATTTTTCTTCTATGAATATAAATATTGTTGAGAAGTTCACTGTAAAACAATTATATACTCTTTCAAGTATTTTGAGAAAGAGTTGACCAGCTAAACAGTAGATTTTCTTTTTCATGTCATATACTTTATATCATTATTTTTAGTAAAGAATTTTTAAAGATCTATTTCAACATGTCTAATGTTACTTCTCTCTTTGATTGCTATTTTTGAAGACTAGAGTAATAGAAAAATTAAAAATTACTATATTTTTATTTCACTGCACCCTCTCAAAATGCTTTCGTAGATGGTAAAATTAACTGACACCTCCCACATGGAGATCACAGAACATAAGGTGAAATTTCTGGAAACCACCTAGGTTTTTTCTCACCTTTATCCTAACTTAAATCTAGTTGTTTATTTGTTTGAGTGTGATGAGTTCTCAGGGCGTTAGTTCTACAAATGATTAGAAGCTTTTGGATAAGGTTCCTACAGTCTAATTACACTTTCACCTTACAACCTTGGGAAAGTAATTTAACCTCTTTATGTAGTAGTCTTATAATAATTAAAATGGGTTATAACTATCAAGTTCTTTGGATTAATACAAAATATATAATGATACTGTATGCCTCAATAGTATATGATAAAGATTAAATGAAAGAACTATGTATAAATAATCACCACAATGATGGTTTTATATAATTATTTGTAGTCAGGAATTTTTTAAGACCTATTTCAACATGTTTAATTTTATGAGTGCCTTCATTTGATGAGCATTCAGTAATTGCTAGCTGTGATAATTAACAAATGTCTTGCTTGCTAAACACTGAGTTTGCTTTAACACATTAGACATCTTTATTTTAATTATTGAACATATTCAAATATTTTTCAGAAATATGACACTCATTTTATGTTCTTCTCCATTTACACAATATAAATTGTGCTTACAACATATTGGCACCTGAACTACACCTTAAATTTTCTGCAAAGAAAACTTTGGCCAAAGAGGGACAGTATCTCAACCTCATTAGAAGTTGTGTTTTGCTTTCATGCTGGGCCAAACTTCACACTTCAGCAATGTCAAGGTTTTTACTTTTCCCTATAAATTATTGGTAATATTAATAACAACAATATTATACTATTTAATATGAATTAAGAGTTTTCAGGGCACTTTCACATATATGATTTTATTTGATTTTTACAGGAACTCTGTTGTATTAGTGCATTCTCACACTGCTATAAAGAAACACCTGAAACTGGGTAATTTATAAAGAAAAAGGTTTAGTTGGTTCATGGTTCTGCAGGCTGCAAAGGAAGCATAGTGGTTTCTGCTTCTAGGGAGGCCTCAGGAAGCTTCCAACCATTGTGAGCGAGTCATCTCACATGGCAGGAGCAGGAGCAAGGAGTGGGGAGGTGTTAAACACTTTTAAAAGACCAGATGTCACGAGAACTCACTCACTAGCACAAGGACAGTGCCAAACGGATGCTGTTAAACCATTAATGAGAAATCTGCCTCCATGATCCAATCACCTCCCACCAGGCCCCACCTCCAAAATCAGGGATTACAATTTGACATGAGATTTGGGCAGGGACAGAGATCCAAGCCATGTCACCTATCATTCTCAGTATTCAAGTACTTTCAGTTTCTCAATGGTTAGGTGAGTAGCCCAAATTTGAGCAGGTAATAACCAGCAGCTCTATCATGGAAGCCCCTATCTTCTGATTCCTCATCTAAGTTTCTTTCTACCCTGCCACATTACTTCTACTTCCCATGTGAAAGAAATTCTTTGGCATCATGTAAGGACAGGCACAACAGACTTCATATTCTGGGTGGTAAGAAATCTGAGGGAGATACATCTTAACAAAACTGCAAACTTTATTAGTCTTCTTCAAATGATACCTGTAGTTTTATACTGATATTCTCTGATTGTCTTTGAATTGATGGAAAGATACTAAGAATATATTAGATTAAATTGCTGGAGTCAATCTGTTAAAATCAAAACGTTTCTAATATTTATTTGAAAAAATATACACATAAGTATGTATATATCTTCATTTTTACATAAAAATATATTGTATATACATAAGTATGTATGTATCTTTATGTTTACATAAAATATATTGACAGAAAGAATAAATTTTGCATATCTTTGGGTATTCATAAAGGATTTTTCAACTTTTATTGATTTTACTATAGTTATAAGTAAAGAAAGTTGGGACTTAAAATTTTCAATACATATTTTCATTACAAAAATATGTTCAGAAATATTTACTTAGGTTAATGGATTATCTTAAACAAGGCAATGAGTGCATATATGTGTCAGTGTGTGTATGTGTGTTCATCTGTGTACATAGCCACATATTTGCTAGAAACATGTGGATGAGAAATAAATAAGCTAATTGCAAGGGGGTATTTAAAGAAATTTAGCATTATTAGTCCAAGGAGAGAGGCGACACGTGCGCACCAGCAATTTCTTAGGGGACACAAAGTTCTTGGAAGTAGACGAAGGAAAGAAGATATTTCTTTTGTTAGTTTAGAGGAGGTAGAAAAGCAAAACGAACAATCAAAGAAAAAACATTTAAAAAAAGAGGAAAGAGGAGAGGAGGAGAGGGGGAAGATTTAGTTTAAAGCAGTGAGTTCAGACTGTTCTTTCCCCTTCCCTCCTGTAAGTATTGCAAGCAGATGGCTACTCCTGTAATTTAGTCCTTGCTTGCTCTGATACAGAAGGTTTAGGAGTTTTCCCCCTCCTGTAGATCTCTTTGCTAAAATTATAGTCTCTTTAAAACAAAAAGACCAGTTTTAGGTGTGCATTTGTGAATCATGTAAGATAACATTTTCTAATTTACATTTAAAAACTGGCAGTGAAAATGCAAATAGGAAAGGTAGATGAAATACTACTGTTCAGATTTAATCTTACGTGACATATCAGCAACTCATTGACTGGTTCAATCACAAGTTAGCCTACTGAAATTTTTAATTACAATAACTTTTAATGAAAGAACATCATTGGAGCTTGGATGCATTCCATCAATGAGAAAGGAATGGAAGAAATATAAATACTATGTAGGCTATGTAAATTTTTCATTTTTAATATGCTTATATGTTTGCATGAATCACAATGCATGTATCTGTAAATTGACCTAAAATAGGGCAGAGCTGTTCAATAAACCAATTATTTAAGCAGAAAAGCTTTAAAGATACTCATCAACAAAAACTCCATCAAATAACCCTTGAAAGAATAAACTGCATAATGAGAATTAAAAGTTCCAACAATACCCATTAGGGTATTCTACTGCACCATCGATTCCACTAGTATCAATTGCTTTCAGTTAGCTGAACCTTTGAGTGCTTATTGGAAAGGACTAATAAACCACAATCAATTTTCTTTTTAACGTCACAAGGGTAGCTCGAATGAACTAAATGCTCTTCCCCTGTTTTCCATTTCAGACATGTAAGTAGCAGGAAAATCTTAAACATGGCCTTTTATAAGTCCTTTCTCCCATAAATAAAAACAAGAAAAATGTATGAATCTATTCTGTCTGTGATGAAAATATTAGCACTTTTCTCATGCTTTATATCATTATTGTACCTATTAAATTTTACAGATGTGCTTCTCTTTGTTTCGGGTTCAAAGAAGCAAAAGCATGAGACCGCTAAACAAATTTGGTGCTACCCATTAACTAATTCAATTTGCCTCAGTTTTATTGAGGTAACAACCTGTACATTTTTAAAAAAATAGATAGGTATACATATAAATAGACAAACAAATAGATAAATGGCTTATATGTCCAACATCAATGCTTTCAGGTATTTGACAATTGCAGAGCAAGATAGATTTAAACTGATAATTCCTTAGTGTTTGTGAAATGAAGTTGTGTTACCATGTCAAGGGACAGAACGTTTGCCTCTGTACTAAAGATACAATTAAAATTTGCTCATAAAATATAATAAATCATTAGACTTAAAATTACTAGAAGTATATAGATACTATGATTATTGATGTTTGCATTCTGATTTTTACTCCTAATTTGCTCTAAAATAATAGCATAACTTTCAAATATTAAACACAATGCTTAAAACAAACGCTTAGAAAATTCTGAAATTATATAGAATGGAATTAATGAAACATTTTTATTTTGTCTTGAATGATTTAAATTGTTATAAGAATGTAGCTACTAATAAAAATCCAGTTATTTTCTGCTGAAGATCAAGTGATGAAATTTTGTTAAATGTGAGGTTGAGATGTTCCAAATTTACCTGAAAATCTTTCTATGAAAGGCAGTTTTGAAGTACATTATTTTATATTGTATAACATTATTTTTATATTGTGTATATAAAGTAAAAAGACTATTATTAATGTTAAAATAGAAAAATAATGACTTATAGCCATCAGTGTTTCAGCCAAAATCTCAGTTGTCAGCCTATAATACTTCTGTAAAAGAAGATATCAGATTTGTACATCATTGTTAAGATTTGGGCCCATTGATTTTTATTCAGAACTATCTGAGTTTAGAAATTTCATCTTTCCCTAAATATATACCTCATGAATTTCCTGTAATCTTGAGATAAATTTGAGTTGCTCACTAATATGTCAAATTCTTATGCATGAATACAAAATTTTGTTTCCCTGGAGCCTAGAATGTGTTTGTTGCATAGAAAATTCCTGTTGATTGCTGTTGGCTTGGACTCTTTTTTTTCCTTCAACTTTTATTTTAAGTTTTGGGGTAAATGTGCAGGATATGCAGGTGTGTTACATAGGTAAACGTGTGCCATGGCAGTTTGCTGCAAAGATCATCCCATCACCTAGGTATAAAGCCCAGCATCCATTAGCTATTCTTCCTGATGGTATCCCTTCCCCCACCCCCACTGACAGGCCGCAGTGTGTGTTCCCTGCAATATGTCCATGTGTTCTCATTGTTCAGCTCCCACTTATAAGTGAGAACATGCGGTGTTTTGTTTCCTGTTCCTGCATTAGTTTGCTGGGGATGACGGCTTTCAGCTCCTCCTATGTCCCTGCAAAGGACATGATCTCATGCCTTTTTATGGCTGCATAGTCTTCCATGGTGTATATGTACCACATTTTCTTTTTCCAGTCTATCCTGGATGGGCATTTGGGTTGATTTCATGTCTTTGGTATTGTGAATAATGCTGCAGTGAACATACATGTGCCTGTATCTTCATAATAGAATGTTTTATATTCCTTTGGGTATATACCTAGTAACGAGATTGATGGATCTAATGGTCTTTCTGCCTCCAGATATTTAAGGAATCACCACATTGTCTTCCCCAACGGTTGAACTGGTTTACACTTCCATCAACAGCGTAAAAGCATTCTTTTTTCTCTGCAGCTCGCCAGCATCTGTCATTTCTGGACTTTTTAATAATCATTGATCATTTTAGAATTTTGGGGGAGTGTGTGGTTTGCAATTGTACATTTAAAATAATATGCAACAAATTGTGATGAGATATAACCTAACAAATCATAACACAGGGTGATTTTCAATTTGTGAAATCTCCGTAGGACACATTCAGTAGTGCGCTAGTGATTTTTAACAACTGGCTCCCCTGCCTATCTGTTCTCTCAGACCGCCTGCTTTAGTGCTCGAGGTCCTGACCTGCTGATTATTTGTACGGCAATAAATATATAGCAGTTGAGAAGTGTACCATCAAATGTAGATTTCAATGTGAATGCATATTTAACATGCCATCCATGCATGATTATGTGAGCTGTGCTCTCTTAAACTAATTATCTCAGAGAATTAAGATGAATTTTTATAATAATTTCTGAAATATAATCACAAGAAACTGATATAATTTACCAAATATGTTAACAACTAACTCCAAAGAAAACTTTCAAGGACATTAAACACACAGGACACGGTTTACCACTGAGAATTTACTCATTGAAATTGAGAAACTTCATCCACTTTCCATAAATAAATATCACTGTGGTGACAGACAGAAAAGTAAATTTCTATCCATACTGAATAATAAGTCTTTAGGAAAACTGTCATTTGATAAAATAAGCCGCTCATTTAAAGTGAACATAGTCTATGAACTGGTAATTTTTGAAAAGTTGTCAACAATTTTTTCAAAGATTAATTTATCAGTTTTTGGTTCTCTCTAAAGCTTCCTTCTTTTCCTCAGCTACACAGACCGCTTCTGCCTGTAGGGAAAAATATTAAAATGGCTACAGCAACTTGAGCTTTTCACGGAATGGCCACTATAATGAATGAATGAATGTCCATGGTTAGCCCCTCTCCCAGCGTACCTGCAGGGAGACTGAATCATAGCTGTGATAAGGTAATGAATCTACTTTACATTGTTTCAGGCCCTGCCCTGCAGATGCTCCCTTTTAGTCTGTGGAGGCTGGAAACTCATGAACCACTGTAGCATAAGATAATTTTGCTGAGTCTGTGTTGAGGGAGGGGCAGATGCTAATGGTAGCTAAGGGTTCATTTACTATGTCTAAATGAAAGGAAAATAGAGTTGAATATTTAATGTACCCTCAAAGTCCATTTGACTGAAACTTGCATTCAGATAAGCTATTTAATCATTGTGTGCATGTGTGCACTGTGTGCATGTGTTTGTAGGCATTTTAGAAAACTACAAATTCTCAAAACAAATATCTCCTGACAATTACCTCTGCTCCTCTGCTTGTTTACCTTGGTTCCCCATCTTACACACAATAGACTCATGAACATTTTCCCGGACTATTATTTGGAGTGGAAAATTAAAATCATACATTTTCTCCCATATTATTACCAGGTCAGTAATACCTTTGGTCTTAAAAACTATCTCAGAGGAAGTGTCAGAACTATTAGTTTGGAAGCTAATACAGTATTCAGCATGTGAATTTTTGAAGGCAAAGGGTCTTGATGCAATTTGCATCTTCGAGCAAGGAGTGGTTGACTTTTCTCCATCTCCTCTTTGTGCCCAAATGTAAGTAAATTAACAAAGTATCAACACTACAAGCCATTCATGATGGTTTTATAAAACATATATATTTTATATTGAATGAATTTGATATACCACACACAATATGCAAACACAAAATTTACCCATAAATGTTTTGAAATATATTTTTATCCATACCACAAGTATGTAACATCTATCAGCTATGAGACCAGGTATAGACCATAATGTTGCTCAAAAGACTCATAACACAGTCCGGGGCAGGACGATATGTGTAAAAGAGCAATAGATACTACATGTGCTAGCAGAGGTTTTCTAAAAATATTTGGGACAGTCAGAAGTGATGGTCAGAGATCTCACAGATGAGGTGGTATTAGATCTGAGGTTTTAAAGGGTACCTAGTAGACCTCCAAGCTGTCAAATAAAGGAAGAGTAGCATATTCAAGCCACATTTAGAAACTGTAATTAGTTAGCTGTCATTAAGGGTTGAGATTGACTGGGGACAATCTGGAAAGAAAAGATTCAATATGATCTGCATTTTGGACTTAATACTGGGTCACTGGAGAACGAGAAAGGGTTTTTAATGGGGAAATTTATGTAATTAGTCACTTTTTAAAATAAATGTATTTTGACAACAGGAGAAATAAGAGTCTAAAGGCAGAAAAAGTAGATAGGAAGCTATTTTGATAGCCCAGAAGGGAGATGAAGTCCATGGAGGTAAACAGTCTAGTGCAAGAGGTAAACATATTGAAGACTATGAAAGGAAGTATGAGACTATAGCAAATGTAAGCTTGCTTTCACTACCAAGGACAAATTGAAAACACTCAACACAAACACACACAGGCACACACAGAAGTACATATACATAAAATCAATGTGCCAAAGAGAAAATGAAAAACTTTGGAAATTTGGGCAACAAATTGGTACTAGCTTCATTTTATCCCCTTTATTATAAGGATTTTATTCTGAAAGTTGATTTAAGCATATAACAAATATTGATTATAAGTTATCTGTGTGCAAATGTCCATTCTAGGTGCTGAGATTTAGAAACTTAGAGACAAATTCCCTGCCAATATGGAATTTGTATACTAGTAGAATGTCATTGACATTGCTTCACTTTAAGCCTAAAAGATAAATCAATGGAAGAAATTTAATTTAGAAGACTTAGCTCAGTAATAACAAATAGGATCTGCTTCTATGGGACTTTTTCCTGAGAGAGTGATGATTTCTTAGTAATTATCAATAAAAAGCACCCTGAAATTTATTGTTTTACAGAAAATACCTACAGAAGTAAAAACTCTTAAAAAATTAGATGCAATAAAAACAGAAATAATAATGCCATAGTATTATTGTATAACTCAAAACCATCTTTGAAAAGTTGACTTAGAAAAGATAATTATAATAGAAATTGGACTTTTTTTTTCATAATTTGGGTTAAAGGCCATCTAGAAAAAGAATCTGAAATTACTGGTTCTATCATAAATATTCTAATTAGGAACAATTAAATTCAATAATTAAATTACATTAAATTCTAATCTCCCATACTACATAATTAAAATATGTGTAAAGCTATATAAATATGTACATATAATGTTACTAGATATATTTATGTACACACATATATATATATCACTTCTGTTTCCTGATTCTAGAAGCTTTCTGTCAGTTTTCTTGTTTCCAAGTACATCAAATACAAAAGCAAAAAAAAAAAAAACATCATTTTTACAGACCTCAGGCCAGTGACCCAGGTGAAAAGAGAAATGAAACAAAGCTTTCTTGATGGAAGAATAAGAGCTTTCTCATCATTCTTGACCAAGCTTTGAGCCATGTATAAAAAGTAATTTATTTTCGGAGAAAAAAAACAACAAAATTACTCGCTGGTGAAAATACAATTGGAGAACTAGAATTTGGGGAGACAGACACCCAGATATATCTTCTCTTGAATCATTACACACATGATATCTAGATGCTAAGAAATTGAAAGGAAATTTTAAAAAAGGTATATAGAATTCCCAGAAATGCCCTTATTTCTCAGTTGTTTTCACTAGTGAAATATATCTTTTTAAACCAGTTAGTGGAGAATTTTATATGCCCTTGTAGTTAAGTGAGAGTTTTTTTACAACAAACTGTCAATTAGTACTGCTCTAGACACACCAAGTGGCCAATATCTCTCACCCTGTTTGCTGTATTTACTACCTAAATGTTTAAATCTTGAATACTTAATGGATTTGTTCATAGTTCTTTACTCACTTCCTTGTCCTCTATTCAGCATGTTCCAAGTCTGCTCCTGTTCTCCAAATATTATCTACGTGTCTGGCACTTCTGTTCCCATATATCCAGATGAGTTAACTGCCAAATACCTAATCTAGAATTTACTCATGTCAAAATGGAGGAACCCTGCACTGACCTCCCAGGGGACCAGATGGTGCAGGCAAATGTCACAATAGCAGATGTCACAATTAGATGTCACAATAGTACTTAAGTTAAAACAATATTGAAATGGTAGTGTGCAAATATTTTATACATATTCATTTAATTAAATAAAACATTGTGTAATTGGTACACAAGGAAGTTTTTACAAAGTGCAGATATATAATGGATAATGAGGTCACACTTTTAAAATAAAAAGGATCCTATTTATGTACATCTAGCTTCTTCCTCAGTCTCTCCTGATTTTAATGTTCAAATAAGTTTCCCCAAGTGAGTTTCAAAGTGAAACAAGAAGAATGAGCACAGACGTGCGCCATTGAATAGATTTTCGGATTAGTTTTGGATGAATGCTTTTTAACGTGAATACTATATTTAGGTGCTCAGTACAAAAGGTCATTCCATAAGCACTCCCTAATAGAGTAATTTGTGTTACTTTTAGAGAATTCAGAATGCTCTTACCATCTCAAACGACTGAATTCTGCCTGGCAATTCTACTATTAGACAAAAGATAATTATATGCTTCTCATTACATCTTCAAGAGGCTCACCACAGCCATGTTTTGTTCAATTTTATTTAAGGCCTGCATAGTTTAAAAGTAACCATTTATTATAATTTTAGTTAACATTTACTTAAAATCTTGTGGATTTTTTTATAATTCATACAAGGACAATAATAATAACTAATAAGAAACAGGAATTAGCATAAGCATTTTTATTTTTAAAAACATTTTGCTTTTAAAACTAACAAAGGAAAGACTAGTGACAACACGAGCTTTGAAAAAAATTTTATAAGGATCAATCAAAGAAGAATAATGTTAGCAAGAGTTTTTGAATTATAAATTATAGCACTTGAGTTTGTTTCATAAAAGTAATTAACAGACTAATATGACACCATGTCATTTAAATCTTGCATCTGAGATTGCTTCCCATGTGATTTTAAAGAGGCTGGAGTAAACAAACAGGCAAAAACTTGAAGTGTTTTTTAAGCCAAAGAAGAAAATTTTAAAAAGGAATCTTCTTAAATCCTTAAGAAAAGGACTGCAGAATTTGTAGACTGTAATAAATCTACAATTCACATACACCATGGCTTTTTCAAGTTTTACTGGGTGATCTTCCTGACTGAGTTAATGTGCAGTCATAGACACGAGCTGTTTTTGGATAGATGGTGTTTGTTATTCATGTGTGTGTTCTCCTCATTGTTTAACAAAGAACATTACAGATAGTAAATAGTCAATGAATTTCTGTTTGATCAAATTATGAATAAAAACATTTTACCTATTGTTAAATTCTGATCAAATCACAAATAGATTTTTTTTCCCAACAAATGTACAGTTGTGGTATTGACCAGTGAACTCTTAACTCTATAAATGTAAGGGCTTCACACTATTACTGTGTGTGTGTGTGTATATACAATAATATATAAATATGCAATTAAATAATTAAATTTATTTGTTACATTTTACAAAGCTCAATCTAAAATGATATTCTTATGACACTTTATTTCAGAAAATTATTTTACGGAAATAAAATGCATTTAAAATAACATATATTATTCCCTATTATGTGAAAACATTAAGGTGGATAACAATTTAGGTATGAACAACCAACCACTCACAGTGATAGATATGATTTACAATAATGATGGCTGCATCAAAATATAAACTTATATAATTATTTTAAGTAGTCAAGAAATTAATGCTTTGCTTTCTAACAGTCATCATATCTACTTTTCCTATGGGTTTAGGCAATTCTAAGCAATTGTTTTCCCTATCATAAACAATACGAATATTCACGCTAAAATGAGAACTATTAAATCAAAGCATGAATTATTTACTGTTGCCCAGAGATGCATCAACCTCACGGAATATTACTAATTCACAAAGGCTTTGAACATCTACCTGAGGTCAAACATTCATAATACATGATTCTAAAAATAATATTCCCCAAAGTGTGCAATTTTAAGTTGAAAAAGTCAATACAAATCTGTGATGAACAGTAAGAGTGCATCCGGGTCAGAAAAATGTATTTCTTTTCTCTCTGCAGTTAAGAATGAAATGGTGACTTCTAGACACACCTCTTGTGAAATAGAAACAAGGCACTTGTTCCTGAGAGTGTCCTCACCCCTATGGACTCTTCATAGCGATTGCAAAAGGCTGGGATAATGATGTTTCATGCTGACATTTTGATGGCACCAGTGTCCCATCATGACATGGTGGGGAAACTCAATAGGGTAGGATTAGATAATTTTGCAAAAGATAATTAAGGGACTCTTTTCTTTTGGTTCCCAACCAATTCATGAAGTTGTGACTGTGTCAGAAACCTTCCCTTACCTTTAGAGTTAGTGAGGTGCAGTGCAAAGAACACAAATGTGAAGCAGACTCATCTGTGTAATTTTGTGCAAATTAATGAATGTTTCCAAATTCTTGGTTTTATGTGTTAAATAACTACATCCTAGGGATGATGGGTATATTAAATAAACTAATGCATGTTAATTACTTCTTATAGCTCCTAATGAGTTAGCATGAATTTACAGAATTGGACACTTGGGTTCAAATTATCAGTCTGCCTCTTGTGCATTTTGGTAATTTAGAGGAAGCTATTTAATTTTTCTCAACTCCATTTTCCTCAGTTGGGAAATGGAGATAATAGTATCACCCAATATGGTGTGTTGTTGTTTGGGTTAGGGAGTGAATTAGCGTCATAAATAGCATACCATAACATTCTATTCAGGTTAACTTTTATTTTATAATCAGTTATTTTCATTTCTATGATTCATTTAATGATAATAAAATTAAATGACCCTACTGGCTGCTAACATTTCAATTTTATGGGAAAAATGTAGTTTTAATATTTGGAGAAGGAATATGCAATGAATATCTAGCATGAATATTGACAAATTTACATTAAAATTATTTTAAAGTACTCGTTATTCTGGGTTACTGAAGACAAATATGTGTCTTGGTCTTCAAGAGGCAATAACTAAATATGAAGAATCTTTTAGAAATTTATTATTTTAATTTTTTTTTAGATACAGGGTCTTACTTTATGGCTCAGTGTGGAGTGAAGTGGTGCAATCATAGCTCAATGCATCCTTGAACTCCTGGGCCCAAAGATGCCTCAGCCTCCCAAGTAGCTGGGACGACAGGTGTGTGCCACCACATCCAGCTAATTTTTGTATTTTTCAAAGAGACAGGGTCTCACATGTTGCTTCCAAGTGATCCTCTCACCTTGGATTCCCAAAGTGCTGAGATTTACAGGTATGAGCCATGATGCCTAGCCTAGAATTTTTTACAAGACTTGTAAGAAGAGCATGTGTCAAATTGCATTGCTAATTATTTGGCTAATCTCAGTTCTACTAAAGAAAGAAAAGAGAAAGTTTACATTAAGCACTTTTGTGGCAATATTGTCAAGTCATCTGAAGATCTGAATTCAGAGCTCCTCTTAATGAGGTATAAAGTTCAATTTATTTATTCAGTCATTATAAAGCTATTTATTAGGTGACTATCGTGTTTGTCCAACACTTTTCTAAACTTTGAGCATGTAGGACTAAAATCATAGGCAAAAATCTATGCCCTTATACAATTTTTTTCTGGAAGAAAACAATATTTAAGAAATACTTAAACATGGTATAGGTTAGATGGATTTAAGTGATTAAGAGTAACAGACAGTTGGCAGGGTATGACACAGCAGTGAGGTGCTGCAATTTTAGATGGAGGTTCTGGGAAGGCCTCGCTGAGAAGGCGACATTTCAGTAGAGACCTGAAGGAGGTGAGCGAGTAGCTATGTGAATCTCAGAAAAGCGTGTTCCAGGAAGAGAGAGCTGCAAGTGCCAAACCTTCAGTTAAAGCATGTGTCTGATGTGTTTAGAATGATGACCATTCCAGAAGGATATACTTAAGTCTGCAGACTTTGTAGGAGTCCCTAAGCCACCAATCTTTGTTATCTGCCTACCTTAATTCATAGCTGGTGCCAGGAAGGGAAAGCTTCAGTCTGCAATTAGAGAATGCCTGCCAAGACCACGTAGAGACTCGCATAGGGACTCTTTCCACCACTAGCCTGGAGATTTCTTTCTTTGTTTTTAATTTCCCTATATGCACATACATGTCTTGTTACCAAAAATAGATGAAACATCTTGTTCCCTACCTTCTCAAGTTGTTTATAGGATCTTCCTTAAGAATATTGCCTTTTTAAGGGAGGGAAACAGGAAAAAGAAATAGAATAGCTGGTAAGTGCCAAGGGAGTGAGTTTTCTCAAAGGCTGTTTCAGCTGGGTATTAATGTAGTGATATAAGGATTATTTAATATAGTTTTATGTGGTATTATCATAAGAAGGAAAAGAGAGATGAACATTTTATCTTACCATAAAATAGCTCACAAAACTGCTAAGCAATAGAGAATTGTCATCTTTGCTAGCAGACTGCCTTATAGGTAAAATACCTTATTAAGAAATCCTCTTGATATTATAATAATTAGTATCCCATTTAATAGGTTTAAAAATTTCTACTCTTTATAAAATTTATTAAATAATCTGTATAAGACAGAAGCCTCAAATTATATTTATTTAAATAAAGAAAAAGCCCACATTGAAAAATAGTGTTTGGTTAGAAGGCTGCAAATAAAATAAAAACTGATAAGAGTGGCTATCTCTGGGGTGGTGGGACTTGGAATGATTTTCTTCCTCTGTGCTTTTCTGTTTGTCAAAGTTCTCCAAAATGAATACTAAAATGAATACTAAAAAAAAAAATGTAAGAACAAATAACTCAAAAACCTTTATGCCAGAAATGTAAATGCTTAGGCACTGTTTAGATGTAATAAATAAATAAATAAATAAAGCCTTCTACGTTATTCTGGTCCAGATGACACTCAGTTTGTGTTTTCTATGCATAGCATTTGAAAGATAGGACTTTTAACATAAAGTAACAATAATAATAATTGTAATAGCAGCAATCTCATGAGGTCCGCCGGACTCCAGCTGGGTTACTTGAAAGTGAATGAAAGCAATGCCTGGCTTGCTCAATTTAACTGATCAGTTCAGGAACCATTGTTACCACTGCAGCAACCAGATGTCACTGTAGACTGTGAGAAAATGTCAGAGAAAATGAAGCAAATCTAAGGAGTAGTAGAAATGAAATCTCACCCTTCAAGTATATTCTTTCTCACCCTGAAGATTGTCAATTTGAAGACTCTTGTTCGTTTTCAGCATTTACTCTGACTGGAACTCGTAGTCTGAAAATATTTCCATTTATCTCGACCCAGTATCTCAGCTCCTCCACAGGCTCATTAGGCTTCGAGGGATCTGACCAAAGTACAGGTACTTCAGAGTCTGATAAAAAGAAGCATGAAACCTTCCCAGGTGCTGAGGGTTTCACAGAAAGGGGAGGTGGGGGAAGTGAAGAATGTTATTAAGTTGCAATATAGAGTATGACATATCATTTTCTGGATAGATAGAGTAATGCATGTGCTGATCTCAGCTCTGCAGGAATAAAATACATTTAGTGCAATCTGCTTTTTACTGCCACTACAAACAAGCCTTCTAAGGACTTTTTCATTAAAAGGAAAAGGCAACCATCTCTAAGCTTCAGTTTGGAATTCAAAAGCGCAATCCTCTAAAATGAGAGACACTTTATAATAGGGGAGTGGAATCTTCTTTCTGGGGCTAATTTTCTGGTCACTCAGGCTGGAGAGTATTTAACTTTTCACAGTGAAATATTGTGGCTTGGTAACAAAATTCTATTTCTTCAAATAAAAGCTTCATAAAATATCTTTATGGTACACATTCTTCAAATTATAATTTTATCACTAAAATGAATCAATAATGTATGCATGTATCATACTTGTTTATTTTATTAATAACTTATGTATTCAACTTTTAAAATATACTTTAGGCATCAACATAATTAAAATACTGGTGTGCATTCTGTCTGTTGACTTTACGATAATGCTGATCAAATTTTGATAGTGGTAAAAATGTTATAAACCATTAACTCTGAAGTGAAAACAAAATAAAACCTGAGGACCAATGAAACAGAAAATTAGTACAGCAAATTGAGGCAATTATAAAGTTCATGGAAGGTGGAGATACAGAAACCGTAAAGAAAATCACTCATTTTCTTTCCATGAAAACACTTTTTCAAAATTTCATTAGAAATTGATTAGTTGTAGATGCAATTTTTGTCAAAGCTATTATCTCACAGAATACTTCAGAGCAGTAGTTATAGAGAGAAAACCACTGGATTTCATGTCTCAGTTCAGTTATGCCTGTTGTGGGTTCCTAGGACAATCATCTGACATCTTGGCATCCTCGTCCTCAAAATGGCATAAGAACACCAGAGGTGCTCTTAGGACGTTGCCTGCAATGATACGCACCTACACAATTTGTAAACTGTTGACGTGTTAAAAATGTAAGTATGAATTATTATATGTCAAGTATTCAGCCCATTGGAATTAATAAATGTGTGCTTTAGTAGTCGTGTGCTGAGTCAAATAATGTGCAACTTGGCTCAATTGCAGATCTTGGTGTGCTTGTTCGTGGTGTGAGACCTCAAAGCTGTGAAGAAGCCTAGTGCATCTCCTAAGATTGGAAACATATTCTCTTACTAGTGCCTTAATTCTCTGCTGTAGAGCTTTAAAAAAAAGACAAGGATTTTCTAAAGCAACCAAGATAGATAAGTCTGGTTTTATAATTAAGGGCTCTCACAGCTTAGGTTCAATAAAATAAAGAATCTGAGTTTGGAGGAAGAAATGATTTCTCTCTTATAATTAGGAAACCTATTCCCCAGAAGGAAGGGCAGAATGGGAATGAATATTTCTGATTTCTTGCTTTTTCCATCCTCCTTACCTCCTTTACTGTATAAATTAGCAGATTTGCATACATAAAATATGTCTCAAAAAACTCAACGAAAGCATGGTTTAAAAATATGCAGCTAATTATATGAGAATGTTCATCTCTTTTTCCTATAAGGCAAATGAATATTTATCAAGCTAAATTCCAAGATACTTATTATCTCACTTGCATTTTGAATATAATTACATTGGAAGGCAATTGTTCTGATGGGTGTAGGCAGAGATTAAAAGATTTGTATGCACTTTTTAAAAATGCAAAATAATCATAGTTGTTTTATCATTAACAGAGTAGCTCAACCCTTCCCTTCAGATGAAAAGTAAGTTAACATTGAAGCATAGTAACTCTAAAATTATTACAGCAAATGAAGACGGTCAAATAAAAACTAGGTTGCAACTATTTTTAGGAAGCTCAGTTTATAAACACTAGGAAAAACGCCTGAAATATTTAAAGGGGCTATTTAACCTGTTATTTTAAAATTCAGATTTCTAAATAACTGCCCCTAAATTATTTCTTTAATACAATCTAGATAAATAATATAAAATTGAACAAAACTTATGAAATAACAGTCAAGATTGTCTTTAAATTAATAAAATGGTATATGATTAAAAACAAGATTTTATATATCTATATTCATATAACTTTTATACCTTTTTCAATTATATCTCTCATTATACTTATAATAAACAACAACAAAATTCAGTTATTCACATCTGTCATATTTTCCCATTTATCTCTGAGCTTCCAGAAACCATGGCTTATGTATTATATTTATTTTATTGATCCCAAGTTTCTTTCAAAATGGACTTATAGCTACTTGGTATTCCATAAATATGCTAACTCCTAGCAATAGAAAAACAATAGCATAGAATATTTTTAAAACTGTAGCCAATTATATATATCACTGGATCTAATTACACTACAAAGCAAATACCTGGTCTACTAGGTATGCCTTGTTACATATAAAATCTATCTTTTCATATCATAATTTTGTTCTCTGATACATCTACCTGTGTTAGCAAATTTTGCTAGTGTTTTTCAAGATTAAACATTGGATATAAACAATAGCTAAAGCTGCTCAACAGCAGGCATGCAAACCCTACTTTCATGTTTGACCAAAACACTTTAATAATTGTGTTAAAAGAAAAACTTCAGTTGAATTAAATTTAAACGAGTTTAATTGAGCAATGAACAATTCACTAATCAGGCAGCCCCCAGAATCACAGGAGATTCACAGAGACTCCAGTGCAGCCATGTGGTGGAAGATGATTTATAGACCTAAAAAAGGGAAATGATACACATAAATTGGAAGTGAGGTACAGAACGGCTGGATTGGTTACAACTCAGCATATGCCTTATTTGAGCACAGTTTACACACTCAACGGTGTATGAATGATTGAAGTATGGCTGCTGGGATTGGCCAAGACTTAGCTGTTGTTACAGGTGCATAATCCTAAACTCAGTTTCCAATCTTGTCTATTAAGCTAGGTTACAGTTCACCCACAAGGACTCAAACATAAAAGTACGGAGTCCTTCTCAGGCCACATTTAGTTTGCTTTTACAATTGTAAGGAGTAAAGTTAAAGTGTTGGGTGGTGAAATTTGATAGAAATTCATACAACAACTGCCACTGAAATAGTGAAACAAAGTCCTAAAAAGGCAATAAGTTTTAACTTAGATTATCTCTGGAGAATTTTATGGCCAAATAGGAATAGAAATATACTGCTGTTTATAAAAGAGTTATGCATTGTTATTAAAAATACTATATGTATATGTAGTTTGTTTGAACGAGGAAAAAAGAAAACAATCTTTTGGGCTCTGGAGTCCTTTTATAAAATTTCTAATTAATGTCGATAAATTCCTTTGAATATTGCAAGGAGTTCCACTCAGGCTTATCAATTTAGGAGTTATGCTTGTACTCAGTGGACTAGAAACTGCCCTCAGCTAGTTATGCATAACACCTGCTAAAGTTAATAGATATTCCACATGAGTAGCAGATTTTGCTATAGAGTCATGTGGAATTAAGTAATAATGAAATTTGACTGACACTATCTTTGCTTTTTCCATTTAAAGACTCTTTATTACCTTGGATTGCCTTCTTATATAATTAATTATTTTTGATATGCATTCATTACATGTCTGATGTGTCATCAATATTTCCCCTGACGCTATATAATTAGGCAACAAAAATATTTCTAAAGTCTTATCTCCTAATTTTTATTACAAATGAGGTAGCAGCATATTAATACAAACGTAGAGTATAAATTTAAGAAAACTTGTAAGTGGACAATATATTGTTTTTGCAAAATCCCTGTGGAATCAGAAAGGCAAGGGTATGTCCTTTTGAAAAGAAATACAGTTATCGGTTTAATAATATAAATAGTAAAATTTTTAGAGACATTATTCTTAGTAAAAAAAAAAATTGGTCAAACAGAAATACAAGCATGACTGCCCTGCTTGAGTTTAGTCACCCTCACAGTACTGCTTTCTTTACTGTGTTCACCACACCCCCATATACATTGTTTGTCTCTCTTGGAAAACCCTTTCGTTGCTTGTCTCTCTTGGAATACCCTTTCTTCAATTTCTTTTACACAGAATTTTTAGAGTTTAAGTCCTGACTCACATGCTTGGTGCAGTCTTTCCAAACCTACAGAGGTTACTCCTTCCATCAAATTATTTCCTCACTTATTACTTGTAGTTTACTTAGAACAAACTGAGATTATATCCCATGTCTGTGTCCCTTGTTTTCTTATTCAAACTGAAAGTTCCTTAAGCACAAGATGTGCTCTTACATTCAGGGTTTCTTCTTAGGTCCCTATCTAGTAAATAATATACAGGATGTGTTTAGAAAAGAATCATCAGAGTGTTTTATTTATATTGATGTAAAATGAATTGGTATATATATGAATTCTATATAAGGTATTAGTGTGATGCACTTAATCTGGCTAGCAAAACCAAGCACTATTTTCCTGTCAGAATATAATTTCTGTAAGGTGAAGAATACTACCATGCATACTCATCATATATCAATTTATTGAAAAACAAAACTAGTTGCTGATATATATGTATACTAACTGCTGATATATATGATGTTTTTCTAACAGTTGCTGACATATATGTATATGTGTACATATATATAGAGAAAACAGAAGTCTATATATGTACATATATATATACACATATAGTGTTATTTCTGCTACTAAAGTCCAATGTTTTCACATGAAAAATTTCAAA
This sequence comes from Homo sapiens, assembly GCF_000001405.40. Taxonomy (NCBI): domain Eukaryota; kingdom Metazoa; phylum Chordata; class Mammalia; order Primates; family Hominidae; genus Homo; species Homo sapiens. The sequence continues at coordinate 86,648,982 of NC_000003.12, read as the reverse complement.
TATATACATTTTTTTGAGATGGAGTTTCGCTCTTTTCATCCAAGCTGGAGTGCAATAGCATGATCTTGGCTCACTGCAACCTCTGCCTTCTGAGTTCAAGCGATTTTCCTGCCTCAGCCTCCTGAGTAGCTGGGATTACAGGCACCCACCACCATGCCCAGTTAATTTTTGTATTTTTAGTAGAGACAAGGTTTCACTATGTTGGCCAGGCTGGTCTTGAACTCCTGACCTCAGGTAATCCACCTGTCTTGGCCTCCCACAGTGCTGGGATTACAGGCGTGAACCACCACGACCGGCCGATATTACTTTTTTATATCACTTCTTAGGGTCCATATTTGTATCCTTTTATTTTATACTTATAAATATTTATTTTATATAATATACTATGTACTCAGCACATTAAAGGTTAGAAAGAAATTGGAGTTGTAATTACTTCTCCAGGGAATTTCAACTTTTATACTATAAAAAATTAACATCTAAGAAAATGTTACAATTATCTGAAGCACAAAGATAGTGAATAATTGTTCATGGGTCTACAAATAGTTCAGGGGAATGACGCTATGTGCTCAGACAAGAATGAAGATTTTTTAAAAGGCATATTAGATATTATATGTGAATGAGGGATCTGAATAGGGATATTCTAGGCAGATGTTGCATATCCTCTGAAGAGTGGATCATAGGAAGCAGGATATGAATAAGGGACATCAGCATATTGGTGGTGGTTAAATCCACTTGAGTACACACACTACCAGAATGAATGTAAATAAAGGAGATTAGAGAATCAAGTACCAAAAGTTCTGGGACAATCACTCTCAACAAGCAAAGTAGGATTTATGGAAAAAAAAAAAAAAAAAAAAAAAAAAACCTAAGCTGAGAAAAAACTAGCAGAGAACAGACGCCCAGAAACTGACAGAGAATTTCAAAGAAATTCATCAGTGGATATTTCTCAGCTTTCTCAACAGCCCTCTTTCACTCTATACACTTTTCTTTGTGATCTCTTTAATCTACATCTCTTTAACCACCACATATTGTCATCTTCATTTCAGATCTCTTTTCTGATTTGTGAACCTGTATGATCAGCTACCTTCCAGATATCTTGTGCTTGCCTTCCAAAGATATCAAACTTAACAGAACTTGGCTGTGGCAGAGATAGCTAGTTATCCCTTGTTCCTTAGTAATAAAATATCCAAAATATTTCCAGGCTCATAAGCAACGGGAATAAAATCTACGTTTTTTCATTCTCACTGGTAGGTCATTGTAGCCTCGTGACTAAGTATTGGCCAATGGGGTGGAAGCAGGAATGTGAAACTTCCAGTATGTATATGTGAATAGCACAAGCAAGCCATCTTCGACTCTATTCTGTCTTCTGCTGTCTGAAATACAGCTACTATAGTTGAATTTGGAGCTGACTAAGTGATACTAGATTATGAGATTGATCCGAGAGCCGAGGCCATGTAAAACAGAGCAACAAGATCAAAGGAGCCTTAGTTCCTGACGCTGTGATGAACTCTACCAGCTATGGACATGTAATTGAACTTTTATATGAGACAAGCCTCTGTCTTGGTTAAGTTACTATTATTTGGGGTCTCCTGTCACTATCCAGCAAAAAATAATTCTAATTAATACAGCATATTTAATTACATTTTTTTTAACTTTGTATGGCACCACTAGTCATTCAGGTATGCAAAACAGAGCCTTTTCTTTTTTCCTCATCCCTCAAGAAACCAACACAGGTAGTATCTCTACTGCCCCTACCTTAGTTCATGCTCTTGTCATTTCTTGTCAAGATTATTTCAACACCTGCTACTTCCCATTTTTAGTTTTGTTCCCCCTCAATCCAATATCCAATATCTCTACTTTGCAGCAACAGTTATCTCTTTTATAAGGTAAAAAATCTTGGCACTCCCTTGTCTAAAATCACGTAAGGGTAATATGCAAATTTCCATGTATTATCTCTGTCAGCTTTTTCCTGATTGGCCACTTGCCTACGATTCTAATCTCATTGTTCATAGGTTTTCAACCTTCTTCCTGCACTCTAACACTTCGAATCTTTTACAGAAACTCATTTGGCTTTTCATCATTTCCTATGACTGTTTCATTTGTGTAAAACTCTGTTTCTCCTTCTGTGTGTTATTTAGGACACTTGTTCTTGCCGTTAAGTCTCTGTTCAACAATCTTCCTTCTGGATACTTTGGACGAAGACCGCCCACCTTGTGTATTCCTCGGTGCGCCACCACCTTCTGGGTAAAGTTCCTGTTCAACGTGATCTCATTGTTCTGTGCGTCTTATATCTTGAGAACCATCACAGTGTAGTTGATACTTTACTAAACAGTATACAAAGTGAACTGTAAAGAGGGAAAAACTGAAGTTTGTCTTCTTAGAGACAGTTTTAAAGCCTAGTACTTTTACGGTTTTTACAGTGCCCCCTAGACAATCTCATTTTTATTTTCACAATAACCCTTTGATTCAGATACTGCCATGATTATTCTGTAGATACCAAACATGAGGCTCAAAGAAGCCATGATTTACTCAAGCTTATTAATTTGCATATGCATATAGGAGGTACAGTAGTTGTTTTATTTCAGAAATCTAAAGACTAATAGATGTGATGAGTGAAAATTAAGAGTAATATGGAAAAAACTATTTGTTTAACCAAGTTAAAATCCATATCATTTTCTTCAATGACAGTATTTTATAAAAATAAAACCTTAAAAAATAGCTGAGTGACATTTTAATCACTCTATTTGTAAAATCATGCATGATTAGACTGAGTTAAAGAAATCCAAATAACCGTGTATAGGTATGTACTTATCTCAGTCATTTTTAACTGCTTAGTCTAATCCTTATTCATCTTCCAGATTTGAAGAATACAGGGCCCCTTAATTCAGCTTGAACCTTTTCTTAGCGTCGAAATCATTTAGGGTTGTATAAAGAGTGTGAGTGTCAAGTGATGCAGAATATTTTTCTTGTGTGGCAAGAAATCTTTTCTGTTAAAGTCTTACATTCACAGCTCCATACATGGATCTAGCCTTGGTGCTTGGGACTTGAGGGCATTCTGGTGTCAAGAGCCCTTCAAAATCCTTCTACTTAGCCTTTAATCTTTTCTCTAGATGGAGAGATTTGACTACTTCTAACTTAATAAGAATGTTGGATTTGGTTTACTTTATAGTTCTTCCAATTAGCTTTTGGAGTGTTTTTTTGGAGCCTTTAATCTTGCCTAAACTTGTGGGAAACTAGAGAGAGGAAAAAAGAACACTCTTACTTAACAAAATATATTACAATTAACTGTCAGTACAGTTGACTTAAATCATCTCATAATTTGACTATGTGGAACTTAGTTTTATTGTATGATAGATATCATTGCTTCTAAATGAGTGCCATTTTTATTAAGAATTGGACAGAATTTGAAACTAAATTGAAGGAAAGTTCTATAATGAGACCAATGGAAATAAAGTTGTAATAGTATCAAATACAGTATTTTCAATACTTCCAAAACTCCCCCAAATTAATGCAGATTTAGGGCTATTTCATTGTATATCTTAGGCCTACATGGAGATATATATGTGCACATATTTATGTCTTTTTTTTTTAAGAAGTAAGAGTTACAGTTTGCATTTCTGTCTGTGATAAGTAACCAGAGTTGTCTGCTGTTTTAAGTCAACTGAGTGACCTACACTTCACTAGAGCTTTACCACAACTAACTCGCATGGAACTTCACTGGTCTGGAAATATCAAAGTAAATTTCACAATAGGTTAGAGAACTGAGTTAATTACAGAAATGATTTCAATAATTATATATTTGTCTCCAGGGACATAACAATACAGCTTAAAAATTATATGTCCAGACTTTAAGAAGATAACTGCTTTATTTTTTGAATTATGTTAACTTTTCCTTAAAATAGTTGTAATAGTAGTATATAAATAACACTACAATTTGATAACCAGAATCATTTAACCTACTAGAGGTAGCTCAAAAAAGTATCTAAATTAATAAAAATCCACAGGTTTAGGTACTTCAGCAACAGGAGTAATTGTATCTTCTGTAAACTTGCCTCTCTGGAAACATATAGAAAAAACAAATAATTATTTATGACGATATTTTAAACCGATATTTAAATGCACCCTTTTTCAGAGGAAATAAATGGAAATACACAGCTTTCACAACAAATAATGAAGTAATTATCAGAAAAGTGCTAATGTTGAGGAGGCTTGAATGGGTCTTATACTTGTCTAGGTCCTGTTGGATCAAGCTCAAGACAGAAGCATTCATCCACAACTTGGCAAATAGTTGCCAAGCCTTAGCCACTCAACTCCACCCTGAAGAGCTGCCCCATCAATGAAAAGTGATCTGTTATTCTCTGCTTATAGGCCAGGTGGACAAGGATATTTGAAATCTGTCATAACCATGCATAGGGGAAATAAATCACTGGTGAAAAATAGAAGTCTTAGTCCTGCGTCATGCGTAGTTGCAGACTCCAAATTAATACTGCAGCATGATGTTAAGAGCCCAAGCCAATCGATTAACATAAAACAGAATGGTTTACTTCCTTAGAGCTCTTGAAAAGGAAACAAAATCATCTCTTTAAAACTTTTCACAACTCAGGGATCATAGCAGTCTGAGAGGAAACCAGTCTCATTGAATAAGAACTAACAATATTGCTTTAAAAAAGATGTCCAAAAATTAAAATTAAAATTAAAAAAATCAAAGGAAGATGGTAAATAGAAATAGAAAACTTGATATTTGCTTTTAAATAATCAGAAGTGATGGAACCATTTGAAAAACATTGTAACATATATGTTTTAGATGACTAAACATATAAAATAAAATATATGTGTCAAAAATAAATTATAGAACATGAAATAAGAACAAGTACCTTTGAAAGACAGCTTAGCAAAATTGCAAATATATTTTAGAAACAAATGAGTCATTGTTATTTTTTTAAATCCTATGATTTAATTACAGTTAAAAAATAAAATTGTGTCCTCAGTGGCTATATCATCCAGAATGTCATACTGGGACATATACAGGTGTGGAAAATGTTAAAGAAGCTAAAGAATATAATGAACAAAAAAGAAAAACAGATCTACTACATGTTTGTTAGAACTTCCACTTCTTATTAATCTATATGTCTTTCAGAATATTCAATAAATCCTAAATACATAGATGGATGAACATATGCTTAAAAAGTTAATGAACAAATATGATAAAACTCTATGTCTAACAATCAGTAGCGTGATACTTTGTGATGGATTTATTTTTAATAGAGTTATTTTTAATCCATTTCATCACCTTTTATAACTTGTGGGCTTTATTTCCTGATATCTAAAATTGGCTTCATTTCTAATTTGCATCAAATTCTTAAATTCACTCATTAAATATTTCCCTTGGCTATAATTCCAATTTCATGGTCTAGCTTTTGACCTAGACATTACTTTTACTTTATAAGATACAATTATAAAAACATTTTAAAAGTCTATGAAAAGCTTTCAATAAAGAAATGTAGTGTGATTTCACCGCAGTATATATTTGATAGAAACATTTAATTCTACTTTGCTGGGGAAAGTTTCCAGCTAAAATCATTAGATGAATGTTCTTACAAAATTTGCCTGTAATTGGAAAAGCTACATTGCAGCCAGGTATAGTATCACGCCAACTTTCTCCTAAATCCCCAGAAGGCACGCTTATGCACCAACCATACAGAGATTGAGGGTCGCAAACTCAAAATTCCATAGGGGAAAAACAGGTCGTATAAATGAATGAAGCTGGCTGGCTGTAAGATGAACTTATTATTGATTTTATTATTAGAGAAACATGCTCTATATTTCTAAAGATGCGTGTCTTTTTGGTTCACCTTTTATTTCCCCATCATTGAAGAGATCTTCTTTTCTATACAAAAATGTAAATGTTTGATGAGGCATCACAAATAACAATAGACACAAACCACTGTGTCAGGAAACAGTGAGAGTAGTAAGAATTTGGGGAAAGTATATGTATCGTAGGAAGCAGGCAGCCACTATTTATCTACAGTGTTTTGGGAGAATTATAGGCACAAAGCTGCCAGTTATGCAAAAAATTCAGAAACCTCAATGTAGAAGTGTTAATGTGGTCCATCAAAACGTGTTTACAGACTTTTGGTTTGCACATGTTTTCTTGGATCCTAAAAGAAAGTTTTAATAGCCCTATTTCAATAATTCACCACAGAAAAATATTCAAGAACCCTTAGCTTACCCAACATTGACTTGCGTAGCATGATTTTACATTGCTGAATTTCAATCTTGCATCTCAGGTTCATGGTTCCTGGGCCCTGACAATTGCTGTTCAGACTCTAATGACTTCCTTACTGTTCTGTCAGACTAATGGTTTCCCAAAGATGTCTACATCTTAAAACCCATTTATTCCTAGTGTTTCATTATTGGAATGCTAAGCATGAGGGATTTATTTATATCCTACTGCTCAATGTCATCGCCAATGTCTAATTTCAAAATTCAAAATATTGCATCTTCAGGCATAAATGGGTTAATCCCTGGAATCTGTGAATAGGTTAAATAGAAAAAGACACTAAATTTAGCAGATGAAGGCAAGGTTTCTAATCAACTGACCTTAAAAAAGGGAGATTATCATGGATTTTCAGGATCAAATGTAATCACAGGATCCTTAAATGTGGAAGAGAAGGAGAGTTTGTGTTGGAGTGACAAGGTGTAAGAAAGACTCAACTGGTCGTTGCTTTCTTTAAGGGTGGAAGGGGGTCATCACACAGGAACGAAGACAGTCTCTAGAAGCTAGAAAAGGCAAGAAGATGAATTCGTTCCATGAGTCTCCAGAAAGAAACACAGCCCTGTTTGCACCTTGGTTTTAGACTGGTGAGACCCTTTCAGACTTCAGACGTCTAAGGAAGATGTTTTAGATCAATATATTTATAGTAATTTTTTACCATAGCAGTAGGAAACAAATACACTCACTCATAATTCCAATGTTCTGCTTACTAACTGATCCTATTAACCTTCCTGACCTTATCACCTGTTAGATGGCATTATTGAAAACTGACCTATCCAATTGAACATCCCTTTTTTACTTCCACATGTGGTCCTAAACTATCTGGGATAGTTTGGAGTCAGGATTAATTTGTATTTTAATCTGACTTTTACCATTTACCTACAGTGAGCTTTGGTTTTATAATCTATTAGATGCCAATCTCATAGGCTTGCTGAAAGATAAATTTAGATACTGAATGAAAAGCAAGTGTTTAGTTCAGTGTAGGACCCCTAGTGAGATACAGAAAATCTAGGAAATTGTGTTTTTATTATTTTATCCTTGTTAAAGCTTTAGACAGTTTTGTCAGGTGATGTAGCCCTTAGTTACGACTTTCCTGCGTTACTCTGAAATAACAGTTGTGAATCTTTGACCAACGATTTATTTCATTTGCTGACATTCACGTTCATCTTTTTCCTTCAGACTGATATCTACCTGTAGGCCATACCGTCTGAATTTTAATGTCAATGTCTTTACTCTGGTACTGGCATACCGCAGTTGGCTTTATTCAGCCATCACAGGAATCTCATGTCTGACACATTAGCTATTCTCTGTTGTTTAAGATTAGAGCATTAAAAGTGATCTGATTTGAATGTAGAAATTCATCCATTCAGAATGGACAAACAATTGTGATTTGTTTGCAAGAATACTATCTTACAAATAAGAAAAAAGAGAAAAAATAGACTACAAAGCAGCACAACTACCTAATACAGTGAGATCTAGACATTTCACTAGCTTTATTTAAATATACTTAAAATGTCAGCTTATCAGTTACTAACAAGGTGTACAAGTATAGATGAAGATCAAAAAGTCAGAAATTGAAGAGATATCAGCATTGACAGACATCCTGTAATGTTTTTACTAAGTACATAGCACATTTTTAAAAATGACTTTCCTTTTTTTGAATTATATACCCACACATTTTTACTACAAATATTGTAAATAATTAGATTTATTAATCAATGACTAATTTTTGCTCTTGATTTTCTTAAATAACCCAATGTTCCATTATTTACATTTTATATTCATTTCAATAAAGGAAAACATGTTAAAAATCCAATTTGAGCAGGTTGTAGGGAGAGATTCTACTCTAACATTGTATAAAGTAAACATGTTTTCTAGGGCTTCTGTATTTGTATAGTTCTCAAATAGTGCCTATAGAATCTGTAAGAGCAGCTGCATATATGTATATGTGTACACGTATTTGTGTGTGGATATGTACATATATAAGCACATATATTTAAACAGATGATAGTCATCATGTTGAGTTACATAATCTGCCTAAATAAGACTTTCTAGGGAGGTAAGACTTGCCTTCAATTCAATATTAGCAACAACTGGCACATAATTTATAAAACTATCTCCAAAAATAAAAATTTTTGGTACATGCACGATGAGAATAACTATAAAGCTGTCATTCTTTGTCATATGAAAGGGCTAATTACACAGTGGATAATTACAAGTGCAGTAAAAGCTATAAAGTGGCTTTATAGTTTGGCAACCTCCTTTGAAAAATAGGTAATTTTTGATGGATTTACTTATTATATTATTTTAAATATTTACTTGACAATGTCTAAATATCTCAAGCATGCTATTTTTAAAGAAATGTTTTCTAAATTTATTTACCTCATCCTCTCTCTCTATATATGAACTGCATGTGGTAGCAGGCAATATTATAAATGATCCTTTGAAGAACAAATAATATATAATGCCTTTGGGTACCAGAATACACAGAGTATGCATGGGAGATGCTTAGTTAATTTCTGAGACACTGGCATTTCACAAGTCTCCTATTTAATCATCATGAGATCACATTGCATTCTGTGGGACCACGATATTTCTTCCTTTAGAAATAAGGATCAGGAAGTAGAAGTTGGGCTCTAAGGATTTTTTGTGTCTCTATCTCCTTCAGTTCTGCTTTGATCTTGATTATTTCTTGTCTTCTGCTAGCTTTGGGGTTTGTTTGCTCTTGGTTCTCTAGTTCTTTTAGTTGTGATGTTAGGGTGTCCATCCAAGATCTTTCTAGCTTTCTGATATGGGCATTTAGTGCTATAAATTTCCATCTTAACACTGCTTTAGTTGCGTGCCAGAGACTCTGGTTTGTTGTCTCTTTGTTCTCATTGGTTTCAAATAACTTCTTGATTTCTGCCTTAATTTCATTATTTACTCAGGAGTCATTCAATTTGTTCAATTTCCATGTAGTTGTGTGGTTTTGAGTGATTTTCTTAATCTTGATTTCTAATTTGATTACACTGTGGGCTGAGAGACTTTTTGTCATGATTTCAGTTATTTTGCATTTGCTGAGGAATTTATATGATCAATTTTAGAGTAAGTGCCACGGGGTGCTGAGAAGACCATGTATTCTGTTGTTCTGGGGTGAAGAGTTCTGTAGATATCTATCAGGTCAACTTGATCCAGAGATGAGTTCAAGTCCTGACTATCTTTGTTAATTTTCTGTCTTGATGATCTGTCTTATATTAACAGTGGGGTATTAAAGTCTTCCACTATTATTGTGTGGGAGTCTAAGTCTCTTTGTAGGTCTCTAAGAACTTGTATTATAAATCTGAGTGCTCCTGTAATTTGTGCCTATATATTCAGGAGCTGGTTTTTTGAAAAAAATAAGAACATATATAGACCACTAGCTAGACTAATAAAGAAGAAAAGAGAAAAGAATCAGATCGACACAATAAAAAATGATAAACCAAATATCACCACTGACCCCACAGAAATACAATCAACCATCAGAAAATACTATAAACACTTATATGCAAATAAACTAGAAAATTTAGAAGAAAAGGATAAATTCCTGGACACATACACCCTCCCAAGACTGAACTGGAAGAAGCTGAATCCCTGAAGAGACCAAAAACAAGTTCTGAAATTGAGGCAATAATAAATAGCCTACCAACCAAAAAAAGCCCAGGACCAGATGGATTTACAGCTGAATACTACCAGAAATACAAAGAGGAACTGGCACCCTTTCTTCTGAAATGATTCCAGACAATCAAAAGGGAGAAACTCCTTTTATGACGACAGCATCATCTTGATACAAAAACCTGGCAGACATACAACAACAACAAAAAAGAAAATTTCAGGCCAATATCCCTAATGAACATTAATGCAAAAATTTTCAATAAAATACTGGCAAACTGAATACAACAGCACATCAAAAAGCTTATCCACCACAATAAGGTTGACTTCATCTGCGGGATACAAGGATGCTTCAATATACACAAATCAATAAACGTAATCCATCACATAAACAGATTTAAAGACAAAAACCATGATTATCTCAATAGATGCAGATAAGGCCGTTAATAAAATTCAACATCCCTTTATGTTAAAAACACTCAATAAACTAGGTATTGAAGGAACATACCTAAAAATAATAAGAGCCATTTATGACACACCTACAGCAAATATCATACTTGAATGGCCAAAAGCTGGAAGCATTCCCCTTGAAAACGGGCACAAAACGAGAATCACCTCTCTCACCACTCCTATTCAACATAGTATTGGAACTTCTGGCCAGGGCAATCAGTCAAGAGAAAGAAATAAAGGTTATTCAAATAGGAACAGAGGAAGTCAAATTGTCTTCGTTTGCATATGACATGATCGTATATCTAGAAAACCCCATCCTCTCAGCTCAAAAGCTTCTTAAGCTGATAAGCCACTTCAACAAAGTCTCAGGATACAAAATCAATGTGCAAAAGTCACAAGCATTCCTACATACCAACAACAGGCAAGCAGAGAGCCAAATCATGAATGAACTCTCATTCACAATTGCTACAAAGAGAATAAAATACCTAGGATTATAGCTAACAAGGGAAGTGAAGGACTTCTTCAAGGAGAACTACAAACAGCTGCTCAAGGAAATCAGAAAGGACACAAACAAATGGAAAAACATTCCATGCTCATGGATAGAAAGAATCAATCTCATGAAAATGGCCATACTGCCCAAAGTAATTTAAAGTAATGCTATTCCCATTAATCTACCATGGACATTCTTTACAGATTTAGAAGAAACTATTTTAAAATCCATATGGAACCAGAAAATAGCTTGTATAGCCAAGACAATCCTAAGCAAAAATAACGAAGCTGAAAGCATCACACTACCAGACTTCAAACTATACTAAAAAGTTACAATAACCAAAACAGCATGATACTTGTCCAAAAAAAAAAAAAAAAAAAGACACATAGACAAAGACACATAGACCAATGGAACAGGATAAAGAATGCAGAAATAAGACCACTCCTCTACAACCATCTGAGTTTTGACAAACATGATACAAACAAGCAACGAGGAAAGGATTACCTGTTTAATAAATGGTGTTGGGAGAACTGGCTAGCCATATGCAGAAAATGGAAACTGAACCCCTTCCTTACACCTTATACAAAAATTAACTCAAGATGGATTAAAGACTTAAATGGAAAACCCAAAACTATAAAAACTCTAGAAGAAAAACAAGGTAATACTATGCAGGACATAGGCACAGGCAAAGATTTCATGACAAAATTACCAAAAGCAAACTCCACAAAAGCAAAAATTGACAAATGGGATCTAATTAAACTAATGAGCTTCTACACAGCAAAATAAATGATTATCAGAGAGCAGGCAACCTAAAGAGTGGGAGAAAATTTCTGCAATCTATCCAGCTGACAAATGTCTAATATCCAAATCTACAAGGAGCTTAAATGAATTTACAAAAAAAAAAAACCATTAAAAAGTGGGCAAAGAACATGAACAGACATTTCTCAAAAAAAGACATTCATGTAGCCAACAAACACATGAAAAAAAGCTCAACATCACGGATCATTAGAAACATGCAAATCAAAACCACAATGAGATACCATCTCATGCCAGTCAGAATGAGGTGATTATTAGAAAGTGGAGAAGCAAAAGATGCTGGTGAGGTTGCAGAGAAATAGAAACACTTTACACTGTTGGTGGGAATGTAAATCAGTTCAACCATTGTGGAAGACAGTGTGGCAATTCCTCAAAAATCTAGAACCAGAAATATCATTTGACCTAGCAATCTCATTATTGGTTATATACCCAAAGGAATATAAATCATTCTATGACAAAGATACATGCATGTGTATGTTCATTGCATCTTTATTCACAATAACAAAGACATGCAATCAACCCAAAGGCCCATCAATAATAAACTTGATAAAGAAAATGATGTACATATACAATATGGAAGACTATGCAGCCATAAAAAGGAATATAATGTCCTTTGCAGGGACATGGATAGAGCTGGAAGCCATTATCCTTAGCAAACTAATGGAGGAGCAGAAAAACAAACACCACATGTTCTCATTTGAAAGTGGAAGGTGAACAATGAGAACAAATGGACACAGGCAGGGTAACAACACACACTGGGGCTTGTTGGAGAGTTGGGTGGGACAAGGGAGAGCATTAGAAAAGGACCTAAAAAAAAAAAGAAGCTGGGCTCTGAAATTTAAAAATTACTGCTCCATAGACTTGAGATAAACACTATCTATCGATGATGCTGAATTAACTGTGTTTTAAAACCAAGATTGAGATATTGCTAACATTGGAAAAAAGCACATACTTTGGAGTTATATCGACTTCATTTAATCATGGCCTCACACGTACTGAATAGGCAAATACGTACAATCTGCTTCACCTGTTTGAACCTGATTTCTTATCTATAAAATTAGTATCATAATACATACAACCTCAAAAAATGAGTATTAAAATGAGTTTAATAAAATAAAATGTTTACCCATGCAAAGTACTGCCTGAGATTTAGTACATACTAAAATTATTGACCCTTTTTATTGACAATAGAGAAATGTTGTATAATATATTCCTAAAATAATGCACATAGTCACAAAATCTGTAGTAGTAAATACAAAATGTATTTTTCACAGGAAACATTATCATGTTTTCGTCTTTAAAATGGTTTTAAAATGACTTTAAACTACAATTTGTGCTCATAAGCATAGTTCATAAAAAGTATAATGCACACACTTTATTTAACTCTGTCACATAAGCCTCCCTAAGTAAACAAGTGACATTTGAGTTGCTATCTTGCAGTTCTCTGTGAGGCACTATGTATGTGAGATTCAATCAGTTTTTCGAAAACATTCTGTCATGCACTTTAACACAGGAACTTCAGATCAAAGTAGATTTTTTTTCTTACCCTTTGCCTTAATATTCTTTACATGTGGTTTTAGAATCAAACATGATATGTTAGACAGAAAAAAATGTATTTGATTTTAAATGTTTCATTTATGAAAAAATACACACTGTCTTCTGAGCTATGCCACAAGCATTGTTAAATTATCTTGGTTAATATGACCGTAAAGTGTGGAATGAGTAGCAAATAACCAGAATTCTTTAGAGCAAAAGAATAATATTGGAAATGTATTAGGACTAAGGTTAAAAATCTGGCTATAATTCCTATTACAGAGAACTTTGAGGGCTAAAGAGATGAGTTCAGTTTGATGGCACTGTCACTAGAGAAATACTGTAGAAAAAAAAAGGAATAGGCTAGAGAACACCATGGTGAAAAATACTTGAGGTATATTAATCCAGCTGTGGATGGTATGGATTCTGAATTCTGTTTTTTCCATTCATTCTATTATATAATTGTGAGTCTTACAAATAATTGCTAATCTCAGAAAGTAGACTTGCCTCCTATCTTAAACCAAGACAAATGTTGTTTTTCTACCAAAAGATACTTCTAGTGTGCATCGATGCATGTGAGAAACATAGTGAGAAAAAAAGTCTTAATAATATTTTAAAAGTAAGCGAACAGAAACATAATGCAAGTTATAGGGAAGTTTAGTTTTGTTTGGGTATGATTGCAAATTGTCATTGTGGGCAATCATCCTAACAACCTCAGATAATTCAGATTCAAATAAAATACACCCAGAAAATGTATCTACTCTGAATAACTTTGCATTTCCTTATCCATGCTTAGAGATTCAATTCTGATATCTGAAGTGGATAATAATTAGGCTGATTTTTCCATTGCTAATTTATATATGCATGAATGGTAGTATATAAAAATATACAATAGTTCAATTCAGGGGGACAAAAGGACTTGGCAAGTGAAGTCTCACGGTCAGATTACAGGAAGTCTGTTTTTGTAGAGGGGCTTCTAAGGGTTCTGTGCATTAAAAATCCATGAGTATCCATTTTCTACATAAAATGCTTCTAACAGCTGCTAACTTTCTGTCTTTAACTTTCCTCTTCCATGTTCTTTCAGTTTTCTGATTACATTAGGGGAAATACTTGATTAAGAGCCAGTGGTCTTTAACACCTGCTAATCTCCCTTTGAACAAGGAGAGTGTTTGCCAGGCCGGGCCATCTGCAGGCAACAGAGGGCTAGAGTGGCACCAGGGGGGCAGGATGCAGTGGGTATTCAAATCTGCATATCCTGAATCTTTGAATCAAGAGGGTTTCCTTCATTGAACACTTGAGCGGGGTCTCCTAGCAGCTAAGGAAGCCCTGTAGATGTGTAATTAAAGGACGCTATTATGCTCTAACACAGTGAGATTGTAGCTACTTCTCATTCCCATAGAATTGAGCCAGCTCCTTGTGCCCACTGCAGAGTATGTGCTTATTCTCCAGGAAGTGTATGGCCGCCCCTCCACTGTGGGAAGATGAGTGTGAAGGGCTGTAGTATGTTTCCTTGCAGTGGAAAGCAGCTTCTACGTTGCTGAAAAGGATGTGGTGTTCAAAACAGCACCTGGACTCTCCTAACATCCATGCTTGTCGAGCCTGGCTTAAAATTTAATAAGGCCTTCTGGGAAAGAACATTCTACATATATTTTTAGTTCTTGACAATTCTTAGATCACAAATGAAATAATGAAAACCCCATATCTGAGTTGGACCTTAGAAATAATAAGTTGCATCCGCTTGCTTTTCTCAAGGGTGAAATGTGGCCAAAGTCAAGCAATATTTAGTTGAAGTTCTCAATCTTCTGTTTCCCAGAACTTTTACCTTCATTTTGTTTTATAATTCAGTCAAAGACAGTCAGTGCTCATGCATTGTATGCCAGGCCCCATGCTAGAATTTGGGGATATAACAGAGAATAAGATAGACATAATCCTTCATAAAACTTAGAAGTTAACGGCAGAAAATAAAAATAAGTGACAAGTGTTTGGATAAGAGAAGAAATTGTTACTAGGGAAACAAAAAGTGTCAAATAAAAGAGTATGAGTAACTTAGATTAGCATCACATTCATGGTTGTTTTGTTTACTAATTTATTAAAACAATACAATTTTAAATTAAAGTATAGAGATATTTGTAAAGTTTATTTATCAGAACATGCAGAGATTACTGAGATTACATGATTACTTAGACATTGTGTATCTCCTTGAAAGTATATGACAAAACTCCAACAAAATATTTTTCAACTGCAGACTTTTGTGATTAAGGGGGCACGGGTTCTTCAAAATGCAAAAATACATACATTAATTCAAGATATTTTATTAGAGTAATTAAAATATGTTTGCACCTTATGGAAACAAGTGTTCTTATTTTGTTTTGGTTTTCTTAAAGGAATTTGTTCTCTTTGGTGTTTATCTTTTTGTGAAACATTTTAATGTTAAGTAAGGAATTTGCTTACTGTGGATTATAGATGTAACACCAAAATCATGCCTTAAAGGAAGGCTGTATCATACATACGGTAGACAAATTAATATTAGTCTAAATTCAGATTTAATGCATGTTGACATTAGTAATTTATTTTTGAGGACTAACTCTTAAATATATTATGGGAGGATGAAGTCTCAAGACCTATTTGAATATCATATCAAAACTGAATAACCTTCTTAAAAAATGTATACACCATTGCTTTTTCCACAGACTTCGTGTCCCAATCAAGAGAGGTCTATAATCATATAGCTTAGCGTTTTGTCATTGACCCCCCACCTTATTTTTATTGATTAATCAGATTACAATATAGAAAAGGAAATTGAAAAAATCATAGATGGCGCCATGCTATGAAAAATAACGTAAAGTGTGTTTGGTAACCTGAGACAATAGACTCAAAATAATGAATATAAGACAGGGGAAAATCTAAGAAATGGTGTATATTTAAATTAAAATTATCAAAGGAATAAATAATGTCACTCATAATTCTTTTCTTTGCTATGGGCATATACACCTAAAGGTCTAATAGTAAGTATTGGTTCCATATTTATAAAAGAGTATTGCGGAACTAGAGAGCATTAAGGGAAGGTGACGAGGATAGTGTCTGGACACAGTCACCTGAGCTGCTATGTACTCACTTACAGATTTCCAACCTAGAAAGATAAACTTAGGGGCACACTTCTCTTCATATACTTCATCTGAGCTGAGGTAGGAATTAGCAGCTGTTGGTGTGTTTTTCCAGTTGATGAGAGGTTCTCAAATGCAAGCTCAGTTTCATTATTAATTCCTAGCACAGTGTTCCATAAATATTGGTTGAGGAACAGAATATATTTTACAGGGAAGAAAACTACAAAAGAAAGAAAAAATGTTGAAATTATTAGTTGAGAGAGACTAGTGGGCTCACATCTTTGAAATTCCTCCAGTAGACACCAAATGATTATTTAATAAGAAACTTGAAGAAGAAATTCTTTAATTGAGAATGAGATGAAGATAGACTAATTTTAAGTGCTAATTCGACTTCAATAGTTTGTGATTTCCTTATAAAGAGGACTCTCTCTATTTTTCAGAGAATATTATGGGTTTACAAAGAAAATTAGGCATTTTTTTATCTAATAATGTAAATATTAAGAAGATGGTCCATCTATTTTCTATAAATGTATTAATGTTCCAACACTGAAAACCATTTAAACTGTAAAATCTTACCTCTTGGTATGAAGGAGCAAAATAAAATATTCCCTTGTTGGGATTTGTAGAAGCAATCATCAGAAATCCCTCAGACTGAATTAATACAAAAAACGTACAATTCAAATTTCATTTTCAGTGATGTGTTCTCAAGAATCTTGGCTCTATGAAATTATAAGTAATCAACTCTATAGAAGATAGAGTTTGCTGAGTCTAAAACATGAAACTGGAAGATCAAACAGGAAATCATGCCAATTTTAAGATAATTGTTTTATTAATGTGAATTAACAAAACAAAATTTATTTTTAATTTTAAATTGTATTTAAAGTTTTCTTCTGGTATACATACATCAGGCTATTTCCATTTGAATTTTCAAGCTGCAATACAAATAGAATGCCAGTACATTTTTATTGTGGGAATCAACAAAACTTGGCTAGTATCAGGCTGTTTGCAGACATGTTTTGTATATCAGCTTCAATCCATGCAAATGTATTATTTCATTAAGAAGCATGATTTGGTCCCATAGTTTATCATAATTTGTGTGTCACCATGGGATTATACTTGCAAACCCTTCTAAGGAATGGTGTTGATAAATTAAGATGACAGAATGACTTCATGGGATTAATTCTAAGGATAACAGAACAAAGTATACAAAAAAGAAATGAAGAAAAGTTTAGAGAAGAGCCATGTTTTTGTAAAATTAGCACATTCCAAAGGCTGACAGTTAACTTAAATGATGATAGTGATTAATTTATCTGCTGTTTTTGAATGTCATCTTTAAGCATACAAAGAAAAAAATTAGTTTCTGTTTTTGTTGTGTTATGTTTTTACTTTAAGAGTACCTAAAGAAGAAACAGAGTACATATATAATCCTATAAGAATAGCTAATGAATGAGATGAGTAAGGATCATGCATTGTGCCACTATATCCCTCTTAGAACATCCTGTTTTTTTTCAGTTTTAACTCTTGGATTATTAATTGTGGACTTCATAAGGAGCATTTATATTGTCTCTGCAACCTACACAGCACAAAAGTTTATTAAAACACTACTAATGTTTACTAAATATTGTCTGTAAAAAGTGTTTTGGCTGGCATTTCATTTCAAGATGGCAAATCGTAATGCATGATACAGAGACCACCTTTCAAAACTCTCTGAACACCCTTAGTGTTATTTTCTTAGTTGTTAAATCAGATGACCCAAAAAATTATTATGTAAAATTTATATAAACTCCAAACACTAAATGAATGAATTAAAAAAGAAGAACAATGAAAAAATATTTCTTGATCATCTGTTATGTGCTTGGCAGTTGACCAACCAAAAGAAATAAAAACCTCAATTTTCTTTGATAAATATTTACTGCTTTAATACTCTTTTTATCTTAATTTTGCTTCCCAATCAGAAAGAAATGTGTTAGCTAATGACTCAAATTTTTGTTCTACTTGATGAGGTTGAAAGTTCTAAGCTTCTTTTTTAATTTTTTTTTTTTTTTTTTTTTTTTTGAGATGGGGGTTTCACCATGTTGCTCAGGATGGTCTTGAACTCCTGGCTTCAAGTGATTCTCTCGCCTTCCCAAAGTGCTGGCATTACACAGCACTTTGCCCAGCCAGTGTTCTAAACTTCTAATCATGGCTTGATCTTTCTTACGACCAGCCCATTAAGAGTTGCCTCATTAGAACAACAGACATTCCTATCACCCAGAAAATTCCAAGGTTATTTAGGAGCCCTGTGTCAGGAACTGCAGTCGAAGTTCAAATATTAGAACAGTTACTCTCCAATCATCCCTGTCAAGCAGGGTTTTAGGTGCTCTGTGTCAGGAACTTGGGGCAAAGACCAACATATATACATATATATATATATATATATATATATATATATATATATATACACACACACACACACACACACATATATATATACACATATACACACACACACACACACACACACATATATATATATGTTATTACTTCACACGATAAGCTAAGAAAATGTGTTTTGAATTTCTAAAGCAGATTTCTATATTTCTATATCATTAAATAGCATAGGCAGATAAGTAATAAAAGCAGAAAGACTCAAATACAGAAGACAATGCAATGACATATTCTGGAACTTTAAAATATCTGCATGTCATTAAAATTTAAAAGATTGCATATTGTAAAAGGAAATAATGATAATTTAATAATAAAATTTAAAATCAAAACAATAACATGTAATTACCCTGGTAGATTATCTTCACTTTAAAAGAGGAAACATGTAGAAAAGTAAACTTTATGACCATTTGCACCTTCTGATGATAGAGCATGCATTTTTTAGTTATCTCTACCCGACTTTGATTATCAAAGTATATTCTCTTCCTGTCAAGGTTGTACCGTGAATTCACAGAGAAACAGCCAACACCCCTAATTAAATTTAGAAAAATTATGGGCTCAATATATGTCAAAACAAATTAAAATGACATAACCATGGTCAGAGACAATATAAAATGTCCGTTCACCCAAAACACAGAGAAATAGACGGAAGTAGAAGGCACAGACCTGAATTCCAGGCTGGGGGAAAAAAAAGGAGGCAAATGTGTTTCAGAAATGGCAAGATGGAGAACCAGGCTCACTGTATAAGGCTAAAAAAATGGCATATTCTCTATTTCTGGGAAAGGAGGTTAAATACCCACAATGATTGCATAGGTCTACATTTGGCTTGAGCTGTTGTTGCAGTGGGGGGAGCCACATGACCAGGACCGTGAGCAAGACAAGCACTGACCATCAAAATGGATCAATACTGCCTCCACAGAATGACAGCCCTGGATTATCAATATAATTGCAGATTTTGAAATGAAAAACTTGCTTTATCAGGTAGAGTAAAACATAATTTCAGACATGAAAGGTCATGATATTATGGGTTTAGAGGGAAGTAGATTTAAGAAGAAAAAGAAGGAAGGAGAAAAACGAAGAGAAGCAGCTCTTAAGATGAGCCTGCAGCCTAAATTTCACAACGTAACAGAAAAACTACAGTAATAAACAATAGCCCATAATTTCAATAAATGGGTGAATCCATCCAATTAATTAAGTCCAATGAGCAATTTGACAAAGACATAAAATAAATATGATGAAGAACTCAAAGGAATAAAAGTAGAAATAGACAAAAAGAATAACAATTTATGAAGCAGTGAGAAACAGACACATTCAAGATCTAAGAGAACTGAAAAGACCAAATAGAGGCATATAGATATAAATATACACACATTATATAGATATAGATATAAATATACACACATAATATATATATATATTGCTAATACGATGGAAAAAACAGGTAGTATGGACAAACAGAACGTAGAATTAACGACAAAAAGATATATGAAAATTAGAACATAAAAATGAATTTGAGAAATAAGGAACCTATTGAGATGTTCCAACAGATGTCTAGCAAAAGTTTCAGACAATGAGAGAACACAGAGTACAGAGACATTGTTCAAAAAAAAGAAGATATGTCTGACGATTTTTAAGAATTGAAGGAATATATAAATCCTTAAAAATAAAATAAATATCTAGTGTTGAAGAGGAAAGTAAAACACATCCAAAACAAGAAATTTTATATTTAAAATAAAGAATTACGGTGATAAAGCAAAAATAAAAATTACTCAGGAGATAAAACAGATGATCAACAGATAAATGGCATTGCACAATGGAACTTTTATCTGTAAAAATTTATTTCGGACATAAATCGGATTAATATTTTCAAAAAAATGAAGGAAAATAACCATCAATGCTGAATTCTAAACCTAGGTAAACTGTCACTTAAAATAAGAACACAGTAGAGATATTTTGGGGTAGAGAGACAATAATTTATATTGTATAGATTTTGTAAAAAAAAATTAAGATATAGACCTATCAGCATGAAAACAAAATAGCCTGAAGCTAAAAAGATAAGTCACAGAAAATACAATCTAAGTTTCTGAAAACATGCTGGAAAATGGGAATAAAATAGAAAACATTTTAAACAAGACACAATGGACTCAACAGTAAAGCTAGATAATAAAATAATTCATAGAAGACTTAGCATTGAGATTCACCTCTTTTGAGGAAGGGTAATATTAAAACACTAATTTACATTAGACTCAGGAAATTATGAAGATAAGTATGGTTGATAAAATATTGAAGTAATAACATAATATGAATAAAATTTATAATTTCCAAATTAGCACAAAAAATAATCTAAGAGAAGTTCAGAAAGAATTTGAAGAAAAAGATAAAATCATAATAAAGACTAAACATATTAGGCAATAGTTGACATGAGTTCAAATATATCAGTAATAACCAAAATTATATACAGATTTTAAGTCCCTTGTTAAAATGCACAAATTAAATATTATCTTTAAAAAACCTCAGGTATATGTTGCTTGCAAAAGATATACCTTAAACAAATAAGCAACAAAAGGACACGGGAAGTATAAAAATGTAAAGATGAAAAATAGTTTCATCATGCTTTCTTATAACATTCTGAATTTTTAAACTTTATTTCATTGGGCTTAACATAAAAGCATCATTTACATATGTTATATAAATATTACATATGTTATATATGTTATATAAATATTTTATGAAATGAATTTATGTCAATCAACAGTTTTTCAGTGACCTGTTCCAACAATTAACCACATTTTATTCTT
This sequence comes from Homo sapiens, assembly GCF_000001405.40. Taxonomy (NCBI): domain Eukaryota; kingdom Metazoa; phylum Chordata; class Mammalia; order Primates; family Hominidae; genus Homo; species Homo sapiens. The sequence continues at coordinate 86,627,466 of NC_000003.12, read as the reverse complement.
ACTGAACAAAATGAAAATATGTCTGGGCATGTATGCATTATCAGCCCAATCACAGTCAACATTGAACACTGTCATCATATCTTCCTTTACTTGTTTAATCATGGTTTCATTTAATTTTTTAAGCTTATTTACAGTGGCTACTTTAAAGGCTTTGTCTTTCAAATGTGAATTCTGTTTGCTTTCATCATTTTTGTTGCCTGCTTTTTAAAATCTATATGGGTCATATTTTCCTGTTTCTTTGCATGTCTAGTAATTTTTTGTTGGAAATTGGGCCATTTAGATCATATAGCTGGTTTTCATTATTCACAAATTCCTTATTTGTGAATTTACCTACTTGCTAAAATTTGACACCCCCTGCTCTCCCCCACCAAATCAATATTCACTGTGCTTTTGTGGTCTTTCATGGATAGGAGAAGGCAAGTGACATATTTTAGTCACCCAATGCACATGATCTCAATTGAGGTCAAACATGGCAATCTCATATTACAAACAAGTGTCTTTTCACAGTCCGTCAGAGCCACTTTTTTTGTGCTATTTCACTGTTTAAAATGATCCCCAAGCATAGTGCTAAAGTGCTGTCTTTTGTCCCAAGTGGGCTCTATGGAGAAAAGACGTGTGTTAGATAAGCTTTGTTCAGATGTGAGTAATAGTGCTGTTGGCTTTGAGTTTAATGTTAATGAATCAGGATTATATACTACATAAAGTTTCTTCAAACAGAAACATACAAATAACAAGGTTGCATTGATCCGTTGACAAAAATTTGGCTTGCTGGAACCTATGTCTATGTTTTCCCCAAGAGCAAATAGTTTAGGATTTATTAATTCAGTGTTTGTGGTAATTTATAGAACATAAGTGCCTTTAGTAATAAGAATTAACTGTATATTGCAGCAAGCCTGTGTATTGGTTTCCACCTTCCCCCACATCCAGAGTTTGTTATTGTTGTTTATTTGTCTACTTTAGTGACTGCCTGGATTATTTTGCTAACGACTCCTCCTACTGCCATACACACTCACCCCAACCCCAACGTTACTCTGCAGTGTGAAGCCTCTGATGCTGCTCACCAGGGGCCACAGTCTTGGGTTTGTGCACAGTCACCTGGGATGATGGTGGTATGGTGGGATTCTCTTTCTCTGGCTGTCTCTTTCTTAACCACACTCAAGTGTAAACTCCATTGATTGCTGGCTGATTAATCAATTGTTTTTAACAATGCCTTTAGACATAAAATAATTTAGTGACTCATCCAGCTTCTTTGAGGAGATAGTTCCTGAGTACAGTGTTTAAGATGTGTTATGACCAGAAGAAGTTATTTCCAACCTCTTTCCCTGTTCCTCTTTAAAAACTAGCAAACCTGACCTGGCGTGGTGGCTCGCACTTGTAATTTCAGCACTTTGGGAGGCTGAGGCAGGTGGATCACCCAAGGTCAGGAGTTGGAGACCAGCCTGGCCAACATGGTGAGCCCCCGTCTCTACTAAAAAATACAAAAATTAGCTGGGTGTGGTATCGGGAACCTGTAATCCCAGCTACTCAGGAGGCTGAGGCAGGAGAATCGCTTGAACCCGGGAGGCAGAGGATGTGGTGAGCCGAGATCGTGCCATTGCTCTCCAGCCTGGGCAATTACTCCGTCTCAAAAAAAAAACAAAAAACAAAAAACACCTAGCAGACTTACATCTGCAATGAGTTAATCTCCCAATTCCCTTTCAGCACAACTTTCACTATTTTTGAGAGTACCCCTAGGCTTGATTTTCTCCATGAACTGTGCTAAATTATGTCATTTCCTCTGGAGGCAGGATTAGGGCTCTCTTCTACAGTTTGCTTTCCCCCCAAATCTCTGAGCTACTGCCCTGGTGCTGGGGCAGGGATAATTATTCACTTTTTCTGGACAGACATTCCCACTTTAGGAGCTGAGTGTTTAGCAGATGGGCAGGGCAGCCGGCCCAAGTGTTTTCAGCTTGATTCTCTCGATGTGTCACTTACACCTGTAAAAGGAAAATAAATAAATAAAAAGGGGCATTGTTTGGGGGAACAGCAGCTAGGACTCCTCCTGTGGTTAAGCTAAGCATCCTCAGAAGAATGGCATGTTCATGCGTGGTTCTGTTTGCAGCATCATTCAGAGTTTGATTGCTTCTAGGCAAAAAGAGAGAAATTTTACAAGAAGGCCCCACATCACTAAGCTAAAGCGGAAAGTCAAGTTGGGAACTGCTTAGGGCAAACCTGCTTCCCATTCTATTCAGTCATCCCTCTGCTCACTGTGATAAAGGGCAAATCTGATTGCCTCCTTTGGAGAGGCTCATCAGAAATTCAAAAGAATGCAACTATTTGTCTCTTATCTACCTATGCCTGGAAGCCCGTTCCCCTCTTCAAGTTGTCCTGCCTTTGCTTCGAATTGTCCCACCTTTTTTGGGCCAAACCAATGTTCATCTTACATATATTGATTGATGTCTCATGTATCCCTGAAAGTATAAAACCAGACTGTATTCTGACCACCTCAGGCACATGTTGTCAGGACCTTCTGAGCTGTGTCATCAGCCTGCAACCTCAACGTTGGCAAAATAAACTTTCTAAATTAACTGAGACGTGTCTCAGACATCCAGGCTGCACACACCCCAGGAGCCAAGGCAGGAGAAATTAGGGTCCCACTATTCTCAGCAGTGCTGTTCTCAAGGTAGCTGGAGGTTGGGAAGGTGAAGGGAGACCCTACATCTAGGCCTCAATTGTGCAGATGTTAGCCTCAGAATGAGGCAGCTAGGGGCAAATGGAAAATGCTGATGTTCTGTCAAAGCGGCATCGATGCCTGGGGATATACCTAGGGTTTGTTGTCTTGCTCTAAGGAGAACAAAGATGCAAACACACACACACACACGAAGTGGGTTCAGGAGCAGAAAGTTTAATAGGCAAAAGAAGAGAGACCTTCCTTGTGCAGAGGAAGGGGATGCCCAAGTGGGTTTCAAGTTTGGGGTGAGATTTGGTTGATTTTATAGAGGGGCTTGAGGAGGCGGTGTTTGATTTACATAGGGTGTAGAGGATTGGTTTGATCAGGTGTGCCATTTACATAGCCTGCTAAGAGGCTGGCCATCCACCTTAATCTTTTATTATGCAAATAGGGCTTTTACTTGGCTATTGCCATGACACCTGCACACATTGTGACAAGGAAAAGGGAAGAAGCAATCGCCATGTTGGATATACCTGGCTTCTGGCATAGCTGCCAGAACTCACCTATGCAAGGTTTTAGCTTGCTTATCTATGCTTGCAGCTTGATGTTTCAGGCTACTTTTTGTTAGAAAAGAAATGGTTTGGGGGCTGCTTTTTATTAAAGGAAAATTCCACCAAGAACTCTTTTATCCTCACTAACTGCCTAAATAATTTCTTATTAAAACCTGTATCATTTCCCTCCTCAGGAGAAGCATCTCTGTTTTGGGGCATGTTGGACAACGACTATTTCAGGCTACTTCCTGTTAAAAAGGGGCATTGTTTGGGGGAACAGCAGCTAGGGCTCCTCCTGGGGTTGAGCTAAGGGTCCTCAGAAGAATGGCGTGTTCATGCGTGGTTCTGTTTATAGCATCATTTAGAGTTTGATTGCTTCTAGGCAAAAAGAGATAAATTTTACAAGAAGATTTAGAATATAGGGCTTGAACATGAGTATTAAGATTACTATTATTAGTGCAGGTACTACAGTCCATAACTATGACAGTGAAGTTTGATACCGGTTAACTATTTTAGTGGATTTTAACACTAGCTTGCTTCCACCAGATTTTACTGTATTTTACCAGAAGTGTTAATATATAAGTAATATTTTTCTTTGAGAAAATACATGTGTTTCCCTCCCAGATTCACCATTAGAAGATAATTTTTGGTCTAGGCCACTTTTTATAATTTGTAATTTGATTGGAAGAAATATTTTATTGGGTGGCTAAAGTAACTTCAGTGTTAATCTTGGCAATTTCTTTTCTTCAATTATTCATCCTTTCATGACTTTCACAGACCATCTTACAACATTCTTAAACTTTCTGACTTCTAAACATTCTTCCTTTAAACACTCAGTCATTTCCTTTTAGAACAAGAATTTACCATACAAGATCCTTCCTTATATAAAATCTCTTTTCTTTACAAACTTCTTTTCATAGCTAGAGTGCAACATATTACCAACCTTAATAAAAAGTCCTAGTAAGCTCAGTGACAATAAATCTTTCATGCTTACATCTTTTCTGTAACTATTACCCCTGCTATATGGATAGTAATTAAGCAAAACAACCTTGGCTAAATCTTTCCTGCAATTGTCAATCCTGTTATAAAGATGATAATTAAGCAGACTATTACAGCAATTAGAATTTTACAACCAGAATTCCACATTGCAGGTGTCATAGTGTATAGTTCTACTGCAAATCATAGAGTGAGTATATCAATTCCTGCAAGGGTGGTGTCATAGATAATTTCTATTTAAAATTTTACTTGCTAAGATATGGAATTTTCCTTTGACGGTCTACGAAGTTACAAATGCAATCCCATGAATGATTAAAAATTTCCTTGCAAATATATGTTAAAACAAAGTTCTAATATTTGCTGATGAGTTTTGATTGGAAAAGTCTAAATGACAAAAAGTACTTGGTGAGGTAAAGGTGGGACTCAGTAAGCTGAGTAACCCTCACTCAGTTACTTATCTTTTATGATTTTCAGCTTAAGATCTTCTATTTCTTCACATTGATATTTAGGACATTCCTCTGGGCTGTCAGAGGTGCTCCCTTAGCTCTCCAGGCTTTGACTTGAGTGCAATGTATCCAAGAGTTGATTCCTGTACACTTTTATTGCCAAGGGGGTTGAAAGAAGAACGGTGTAGGGCACTCCCCAGCTTAGGCTTAGGGAAGAAGAGAGAAAGAGGAGTGTTTATACTATTACCAAGTACCCTGGGTTAAATAACGGTGGTTCTATTTCTTGGGTTTGGGCTTTTGCTAATTGTTGTGTTAATTCCTGTTGCAAGTGAACCAGAGAGGTAATATGCTTAACCAACTTAGGGGCTTCCTGATCTAATAAGAAACCATCGGTAAGGAAGGCCATCTATACAGCATTTTGAAAGGTGTATTTCTTACCCATAGTAAGGCCATGGAAACAAGAGTGACCCAAGGAAGGTGAGTTTCCTGGGATAGTTTTCTGAGGAGTCTTTTGATAATATCATTTGTTTTCTTTACCTTTCCTGAGGACTCCAAGGGCAATGGAGATGACTGTATGCCTAAGCACTGTATGCCTAGTGCTTTTTGAGACCCGCTGTGTGACATCTGCCTTAAATGAGGGGCCACTGTCACTTTGAAGGTACTTAGGTAGGCCAAAGTGGGAAGTTATTTAATTAACTAATACTTTTATTATATCAGAGGCCTTTTCTCTACAGCATGGACATCTTTCTACCCAGTTGGTGAAAGTATCTACCCATACCAGGAGGTATTGCATGCCCTTTGCATGTGGCATGTGGGTGAAGTCTACCTGCCATTCCTCCACTGGATAGTTTTCTATCCTTTGTGTTTGAGGAGAAAAGAGCCATCTGTTTAGAGGATTATTTTTTAAGACAGACCTCACAGACATTTACAACCTGTTTGGCTGTTTTTAGTAAGTTTTCTTCTGTAAACAATCTCTGGGCACATTGGTAAGTTTTATGCTTTCCCAAGTGAAAAGCCTGGTGAAGGATTTTAAGGATTTTCCATTGGCCGGAGACTGACAAATGGTGTTTGCCAGTCGCTGACTGTAGCCATCCTGAAGGCTGGAAGCACACCCTCAAGAAGTGGTCCATTTTGTTTTTACAGGGGAGTGCTGAGGGTTAATTTCTTTGACAGAGCCTTCCCGGATTAAAGGGGATTGAAGTGTGTTGATGCCTTGAGACTTCCTTGCTTAGCTTCCTTGCTTAGCTTCCTTCCTTAGCTGACTGATCAGCTAACCTATTTCCTTCTGCTGCTTCATCTGTTCCATTTTGATGTCCCCTACAATGCATTACTGCTATTTCTTGTGGAAGGAAAACTGAGGATAATAACCTGTTAATTTCCTGGTGATATTTTATAGGAGATCCATTAATGATAAGAAAATGTCTTTCCGTTCAAATGGCAGCATGAGTGTGGAGAACTAAGAGAGCATACTTGGAGTCAGTGTAAATGTTAGCTACCTTTCACTTGCTTAATTTAAGTGTTGTTCCAGGAGTTATCAGTTCAGCTAATTGAGTGCTTGTGCCTGGAGAAGGAGACGCACTTTCAATGACATCAGTTACAGTGACTATTACATATCCTGCCTTATGAATTTCTTGCTTTACTGGCTGTTTGTTAGCCAAAGGTTCCCCTTAGAGGACAGTAATCCTGCACATTATGTGGAGTGTAAACAGTTATTCCTTAGGGTCAATTTGGAGGCTTATCTGACTAGTATAGCCACTGTGGCAACAGCTTGGAGGCATCTGTAAATAATAGGTCCCCCCAACTCCAACTAAGGAGTTGAGACAAATATTGGATTAGAGTGGAGTTTTTCCTGAGATGGCCCTTATGGTCAGGCTATGGAAAGTGGGGAGGTCTGGATTAGAGAGGAGAAGAGAGAGAGATTGGCTCTAGCGTTCCTTCCTTTAATTTTCAGAGTTACCCTAGGCTCCTGTGCTGTAATGACCGTTTGAGCTATTGGAGCCAGGGGTTTGAGCACTGGGACCCCTCAGTCCTACTGGACCATCTGTGAGACTGGTTCTGAACTCAGTGACCTCCATCTCCAGGGGGCAGTTTGATCCCCAGTGGTCTCTGCCACAGGCTGGACAGGGTTGAAGTGGCTTCTTTTTGCTGCCTGGATACTTTTTTTTAAAGTGCCCTGACTTGCCACACTGATAGCAATTAGGAGATGCACCTCAGGGATCCTGGACTTTGCAAGCCTGCAAAGTAGCTACTAGAGCCTCTGTCCTTCTCCTGAGTTTCCTCTCTTTCTCTTGGGCATCCTCCTCGCCCCTATTATAAACTACCAAAGTGGCCACCTTCAGAAGGTTCTCCAAGGTGCTATCTGTTACTACAGCCTGCTTCTGTAATTTTTTTCTAATACTGGGAGCTGTCTGTGTAATAAATTGTCCTTTAGAATGAGCTGTCCCTCGACTGAATCAGGGGATGAGGAAGTGTATTTTATTAGTGCCTCTCAGCCTTTTCATTAAGGCTGTGGGATTCTCATCTGACTTTTTTTTTCTTTCATGGACAGTTTAGAGTAATTAAGATGTTTGGCCCTCTTTCTTCGTAGGCCCTCTAATATGCATATTAAAAAGTGTTTCCTTTTCTATTCATCTGCACAGCTATTGGGGTTCCAATCAGGGTTGTCAAGAGGAACTACTTCCCTTCCTATCTGAAATGGTTTTTCTATTATTTCTTTGTCTTCCCTATATCCTTTCTTCTTTTTTAGTTTATTATAGGAAACACATTTCTCATCTCCAAAATTCTCTGCTGCCTGTAGAGCTGCCTGCTTTTCAATTGCAGTTAGGGTTTGGCTTAGGAGCAGCATAACATCCCTCCATGTGAAGTTAAACACCTGAATTAAATTTTGGAAAGCTTCTATATACCTGTAGGGATTGTCAGAAAATCGACCTAAGTCTTCCTTTATTTGCCTAAGGTCCTGTAATGAGAAAAGAACTTGAGGGAGCCCTAAATATGGGGGATTCTCAGATGGTTCATCCCAGAAATTGCTTTTCTAATTCTTTATAGGCCTGCCTGATATGACTACTAAAAGAGCTGGGTTGGTTTTACAATGCTTGCAAAGGTCACAACATCGTGCAAAAGAAAATGAGTCACTTTTCTCTTCAAAGTCCTCGGGTTGAAGAAGTTCCAGTGTTTCAGAATGCACTCCAGAGGGGTGCAAGCTGAAGTTGGTCTGTTACCAATCTAGAAAGATAAGTGAGAAGAAAGGGCTTTCCTTTAGTCTCCCTCCTTTCAGTGTGACCTAGGGTGAAAGGGAAGACAGTAGGAGTATCCCCCATACTGTTTTCCCTCCTGGGTCCTAACAAGGGACCCTAGCCCCTTGTTAGATGTGCCGTCTATGGTTGTAGGCATGACCCTCCAAGCAACGGAACTAGAGAAACCAGGTGATGGGATTAGTCATGTGTACCCATGCAGCCCTAGTTCTCCTCTTGTGATTCCCCTTTGAATTCCTAGATTCGTGTGATCTGTGTGCATCCCCAAAAGATGGATCAGGAGTGTGCTAGATTGAACTCTGTTTCCCACTATTATAGCCCATGCTTAAGCATTTACCCTTAGAGAATTGTTCTGGTTAACTTCTGGACTTTAAATCCTCTTACTATTAAGTACTGTTTTAACTGGGGCAAAATGGGTGCCTTAAAAGAACGTAGGGACCTAATGGCAGTTTTCCTGATGATGGGACAGTATCAGAACTTAAATTTGGCTTTGGAAGAATTTTACTCCTAATTGTTGAAAGCAGAGTTTTCCTGTTCACAGAAGAGGCATACAGCCTGGTCTCTAGTATAGGATCACAAAAAGGGAGGAGAATTGGGAAGCTAGAGTGTCAGGGCAAAGCGCAGACCGAAATCCTGCCTCATGGAGAGGATTTCTATTCCACGAGGTGGTGGTGTTGGCTTAGAAATACCATGTGCTCTGCCAGGCACATTGGCTTATGCCTGTAATCCTAGTACTTTGGGAGGCCAAGGTAGGCAGCTCACTTGAGGTCAGGAGTTCAAGACCCGCCTGGCCAACATGGTGAAACCCCACCTCTACTCGAAATACAAAAATTAGCTGGGCATGGTGGCACACACCTGTAGTCCTGGCTACTAGGGAGGCTGAGGCAGAAGAACAGCTTGAACTTGGGAGGCAGAGGTTGCAGTGAGCCAAGATCATGCCACTGCACTCCAGCCTGGGTGACAGCACGAGACTCCAACTCAAAAAAAAAAAAAAAGAAAAAAGAAAAAAAAAAAGAAATACCATATGCCCATATGCTCAGTAGAGGAAGAGTAGAGAGAGAAGTGATTATTAGGAGAGATGCTTTGCTCCTAGAGAATCACAGAAAATAGATAGGATTCCCAGTTACTACAGCATTTGCTAATTTTTCCTAACAGTACTAGTTCCCTGAACTGTAATAATTCCCATACATTGCATACACAGAGAGGATAGGAGGATAGGAGACATGGCAATCATGAATAGGAAAGGAAGAAATTTTGTGACAGGATAACTGGAGACCCTTTTGCCAACACCCGGTCAGGTGGTCAAAGGTTGGGGTTAGTCCAGAAGCCTTTGGATAACACCAGGGTGTAGAACTCTTTCGTTGCTTTAGCACCTTTCCCAGCCTCACATAATGGCTAGGTCCTCCGTGAAAGGAAACTGTTTTGAAGCATGGCCAACATGCCTAGTGACCCATAGGTATTGGGGGGTTCTCCATGTTCTCCCCAGCAAGCCTTACATCTGAGACTTTAAGAATGGAAGCTGCCTTTTCAGCATTTAAATGGCTGTTGGATGCCTCTTACTGATTTGATTTAATTTTAATTGGAGGCCAAGAGCCTCAAAATGAAAAGACAGTTGAAAGTTAAGGTTCACTCCTATACTCACTGCTCGCTCTGATGATTATAACTTCCATTCTGATTCAGATACTGGATGAGCCCCCAAAATGAAGTGGCATCATTGTCTGGGGAAATACCTGAGGTTCATTCTCTCGCATTAAGGAAAACAAAGATGTGGACACACATACACAGACACACACACACAAACACACACACACAAAGTGAGTTTAAGAGTGGAAAGTTTAACAGGCAAAAGAGGAGAGAGCTTCCTCATGCAGAAGGAGGTGCCCATGTGAGTTTTGTGTTTGGGGCAAGATATGGTTGATTGTATAGACAGGCTTGAGGAGGTGGTGTTTGATTTACATAAAGCTTAATGTATTGGTTTGACCAGGTGTGCCATTTACATAGCCCACGAAGAGGCTGTCCATTTCAGCTTAATCTTTTCTTATGCAAATGGGGCTTTTACCTGGCCAGCACCATGGCAACTGCACACATGGTGACAAGGAAAAGGGAAGAGGGATTCACCATGTTAGATATACCTGGCTTCTGGCATAGATGCCAGCATTCACCTATGCAAAATTCTGGCTTGCTTATCTGTGCCTGCGCTTGATGTTTCAAGCTACTTTTTGTTAGAAAAGAAATGATCTGGTGGCTGCTTTTTATTAAAGGAAAATTCCACTGAGAACTCTTTTAAATGTCTAAATACTTTCTTTTTTGAGACGGAGTCTCATTCTGTCACCAGGCTGGAATGCAGTGGTGCCAACTTGTTTCACTGCAACCTCTGCCTTCTGGGTTCAAGCGATTCTTCTGCCTCAGCCTCCCAAGTAGCTGGGACTTCAGGTGCATGCACCATGCCCAGCTAATTTTTGTATTTTCAGCAGAGATGGGGTTTCACCATGTTGGCCAGAATGGTCTTGATCTCTTGACCTAATGATCTGCCTGCCTCAGCCTCCCAAAGTGCTGGGACTACAGGCATAAGCCACTGCACCTGGCCAGTAATTTCTTATTAACTCCTATATAACTGTCCCTCTCAGGAAGATTATCCTCTGACTGGGATTTGGGTGGAGAGTGTACCCTGTTGCTTTGGCTGTAGCAGATGATATGGAGTTTCTCTCTCAATGACCTGGGAAGTTGAAGGGATGCTGTGGGTTTTTGGTTGAAATAACACAGAGTTTTGCATTTCTTAACAACTGTTTGCATATTTTCTTGAATAAATGTTTTTTTCACTTGCTGTATGCCCTTAGGGCCATTTTCAGAAAGTTTAAGTGGTCACTATTTTAAGTAATATTTACTGATTTCACTGGGGCAGGTGTCATCATAGGATCTAACACTCCCATGCTGGATGTGGAACTCCTTGTTTATGTTCTGTAATATTTTTAGCAATACCACATATTCATATGCAATGCACTCAAAATCTATAGTCAATTCTTCTGTTTCTGCTACTTGTGAAAGGATAAGTAAGTTGTGCATTATAAGACATCTGTGATGAACAATCATAAGATAGAGATTAATTTATTCATAAACTACTAAAATGTATGCATGCAAGTTGCTAGGTGCCACTGCCCTTGATTATTATGGTTGCTATAAATTCCAGGTGCATTCATTTGCTAGGGCTGATGTAACAATGTACTACAGATGGGGTGGCTTCAACAACAGATATTTATTTTCTTACATTTCTGGTCACTGGAAGCCTAGGCATGGACAAACAAGGATGTAAGGGACGAACCTGCTCCAGGTCTGTCTCCTTGGCTTGTAGATGGCTGTCTTCTCTCTGGGTCTTCACATCATCTTCCTTCTGTGTATGTTTGCGTCCAAATTTCTTTTTTCATAAGAATACAAGTCATTAAATTAGGGCTCACCTTAATGGCCTTGCTTAATTTACTTACCTCTTTAAAGAGTCTGTCTCCAAAAAGTGTTACATTCTGAGGTACTAAGGATTAGGATTTCAGCATATAAATTTTGGAGAATACAGTAGAGCCTATAAAACTAAGTAATAAGGTTATATTAAGCTACTATTCAGTTTACTTTCAGATATTTTTAAAAAGTTGCAAATGAATTATAGGAAAATATAGAAATATCAGACTTTCTAGTAGAACCAAGTTGATAATAAAAGCATGTTGAGTAAAATTGCTAATAAAGTTTTAAAACCTCAAGGGTATCTTTGCATTAAAAAATTCTACTTGGCATATATTTTAAAGAAACATTTGAAATGGCATTAAAGTATTTTTAAATATAATTAAACATGCTTAAATATGCTTAGATATGATTTAATCATTTTAAAATATTAAATCTCCAAATCTTGTAGCACTGATCAAAAGTGCAAGTCCCATAACCAAAACATGCTAGTAGATTTTCAAATAACAGGATAAATTTTGATAGATCAATACATTTAAAACTGGAATTTTAAAATGTAATAAGTAACTTTTAATTTTAATATGTTTATTTACGGTCTAAGCACACTTAGCTAATAAAACAGTAAATCTGTCATAAATTTAAGTAATGATATATTTTTCATTGATAATCTTCAAGATTATTAATTTCTATTATTTCCCCTTTGTTTTCCTTGTTTTCAGTGTTTAAATGAAAGTTAAAGCATTCCTTGCCTGTATTTGCCAATATTCAGAAAGTATATGTATTCCTTTACTAAAAATCTAATATGTAATTTTTAAAAAATATAGATATTATTACTATATATTTAATATTTTCCCGACCTATTTGTTAATACTTTCAAAAATATTCTCTACAACTACAAAAGAAAGCACTATAGTGCTACCAGGCCAATTTTAATGCATTTTATACTTGGACTTGCAAATTACTATACTTTATTAAAGAAGCTAAATGAACAGAGTCCATTTCCTAACTGCAAATTTTTTAATTTCCTGTTGCTATAACCTGAATATTTTTGTTCCCCCAGAATTTACATGTTAAAACATAATTACCACTGTAGGAGGCAGGTCTTTTGAGAAGTGATTAGATCATGATGGCAGAGACCTCATGAATGAGGTTAATGCCCTTACCAGAGAGGTCACAGAGAGCTGCCTTACCCCTTCCACCATGTGAAAACACCGTCAGAAGGTCCCACCTACAAACCAGAGATCTGGTCTTCATCAGACACTGACTCTGCTGGAGGTTTCATCTTAGGCTTCCTAGCCTCCAGAACTGTGAGAAATAAATTTGTTTTGTTTATAAGCCAACCAGTCTATGGTATTTTTTACAGCAGTCTAGAAAAACCAAGGTACTTGTCCTCCTTTAAGATATACTTTTAGCTTTCCTTTTCATTTATTTGTACTTCCTCCAAATTCTTTAAACCTAAACCAGTAAGTGTATTAACTTAAATGGACTCAATCAGCATGATAAAGTTTGTATTGTAACCGAGTTCTGGACCAGTCATGGTGGCTCACGTCTATAATCCTAGCAGTCTCAGAGGCTGAAGCTGGAAAATTGCTTGAGGACGGGAGTTCAAGATTAACCTGGGCAATGTAGTGAAACCCCCATCTCTTAAAAAAAAAAAAAGAAAGATTTCTAGTATATAATTGCCACAACGTAATTTACAATTAACCAGAAAGTAACTAATCTTCATTTTGTTCACTATCGCTGTAGGAGGCACCAGGGGAAAAAGTAAGCATGAGAAGGTCTTTGCCCCACAATCCTCAAATCATATCAGTGAGAATCATTCCTTGTGTCATCAAGAAGCTGCCATCTAATAAATGAGCTGATTTCAAGTTTTTCCAATGATTTAGACATAATTATTGAGAAATCCATTGTAATGGTAAATTTTATGTGGTGACTTGATTGAGCCAAGTTACACTTAGATATCTGGTTAAACATTATTTTTTGAGTGTGTCTGTGTAGGTGTTTCTGGAAGAGATTAGCATTTGAATTGGTGCTGAGTAAAGCAGATGGCCCTCTCCACTGTTGACAGGCATCATTCGATTCATCAAAGTCCTGAATAGAACAAAAAGGTAGAGAAAAGTTGAATTCTTTCCTGTTTGAGCTGCAACATAGATCTCTTACCCTGGCATTCCTGGTTCTCAGGCCTTCTGGCTCTGGAATCTATACGATCATCCCTCCAGCTGTTAGGCCTTACATCTAGAACCCCGGCTTTCCAGGGTTTCTAGCTTGCAGACAGTAGATTCAGGGACTTTTCAGCTTCTATAATTGCATAAGCCAATAGCTCATAATAAATCTATTTGTATCTATTTTGTTCTTCGAGGAGTATTCTGGCTAATATAATCATATGTCTTCTTCTAGAACATAAAGAGTCTACTAGACTTACACCCTTTTCAATATTTTCCTAAGACTAAATTTAAAAAAATTTGTCCTAGAGCCACTCCTGAGAAGTTCTAAATTTATATTTTTCTTTATTTTCATTAAAAACTCTGACAGGTCACTTCATAGTTTTTAATATTTCCATTCCTTTTGCCCATTGTCAATGGTGCCAGGAATCATTTTGTTGCAGTTATTTCTCTGATGGTAATGCCTTCATTAACTAGTTTATCAGTTTCCTGTATCCTAGCCTTTTTAGATTAATAAGGTAGATCACATGGTTTTAATATAGTGGACAATGTGTGTTCAGTTTCAAAAGCCTCATATACTTCATTATTTTAGGTAATGAAGTATATTTTAGGTAATGATTTGCATTGATGCAAATCCATCTCCCTTCCTGAAAAAACAAATAAATTGAATGTTATACTTATGGAGATCTGATCATAGAACCTGTAAGTGCTTATAGATTTATTCAAAATTAACCAATTCAAAAACTACATAAATCATCACTTGACAGTACCTAAAAATGGTTTCCATAATCTTAGTTAATGTCTACTACGGCATTTAGTATAATGGACTTGGAGTTATATCAACTGGATTTAAAAATCATATCTATGGCACTTACTGTGTGAACTTGGGAAAATATTTTGCCTCTCTAAGCTTTAGATTTTCCAGTTTTAAAATGGAAATAATAATATCCACTAGATTACTATAAATGTGCAGAGTGATACAGAGTGGGAGACAGAAAGAGAGGGCTTCCTGTATTTTTCATATCATCCTTGAGCCTCCGTTCCTTTTTGAGGACCACCTGCATACTTTCCCTTTGATTTGGAAATGCCTTAATAAGGACAATCGCAATATCAACAGTAACGTATTATAAGCAATCGGATGTCACTGAACAGTAGGGTTTGTTCTAGATTTTTAAAAAATTATTTACTGGTCACAATAACCTTATGAAGTAGGAGATATAAATATTTCAACTCTACAGAGGAGCACAGAGAGGTCATGTAACTTGTCTGAGGTCATACGGAAAGCAAGTGGAAGAGTGAAGACTTGATTCAGCTCTTCACAATCAAGTATATTTCACTCAATACTGATATCCTTTCAGTATGCATTACTTCTGCTAAATCTTGTGTGAATTGTTTGTGACACTTGCAACCAGTTTTCCTAGTGTATATCTCACACACAGTATTTAAAATGCCTTCCAAAAATGGCAGGAATAATCATTACAGCAGTAATCCTACTAGCAGTGTCAATGATAATGATGATGATAATGACTAAAATTGAATAGTTTACTCTGTGACATGGTAATATATGTTAACATGTAAAATACTCTGAATTGCTTATAAGCAAGTTTTTCTTATGTAAATTTAAAATGGAATTGAGTGATGAACCAACTACCTGTTTATAGCAACAAAAAGGAACAAAAAGAGACCTAAAATAACTCAATAAGCTGAATTCAAATATGAGCATATGTGTGAACTAATATGACTGAATAGTTTATGAAAAGCTGTCAACACATATTCAGTATAAGAATTGAATCAACTAAGTCTTAAATTTAAAACTGTTTCAACAAGCAATTTTGCTTAGTCTATTTCTTCTTTATGTTTTCCTTAAATTAATGCAGATATTCTTATACTTACGGAGAAATGTACTATAAATTGTTGCCCTAAATGTGACAACATATTTGCAAATTATTAATGCGCTTATTAGAGAAACATTCTGTATTTTCTTTGAAAACATCATAGTGCTTTTTTCTTGCTAAGAAAATCTTCAAGCTTTTGCCTTAAGCATTGCTTTTTCTGGGTGATACAATCCCAAAGAGCATTGGTGATGAACAATTTTAATAGAGAGTATAAACATACTTTTTTAAAGGATACACTCCAATGGAAATAATTTCTTTCCTAACAGATAATATTTTTCTCAGACTTCTTAGTTTTTTTCTTTAAGATCAAGCATGTAAATCTCACTGTGCTTTTGGTGCTCTCCATTTATGGCTATTAGAGTTTTGGGTTCATCCAATCGTACTTACAGATTGCCAGCTAAAAACTTCAAAAAATATTAACATATAGACATACAGAGACACACACACAATAACACTATAAAGTTGGAGAAATCTAGGAGATAAAAATTTTAAATCACTCTTTTTCTTCATTTTATTGTCATTCCTCTTTCAAATACTATATTATTAAAATTTCTGAAGCGATGAAAATGGTTTATTTATAGATATATTAAAATATAAGACACTAATTATTATATGATCTACTTTTAAATATTAAAATCAGGCAAACATAAATACCCTTTACGAATGGGAGAAAGAATGAACAATGTACAATATACTTGTAAATTAAAATATATTTGCTTTAATAGACAATACCATGGACATTCCTCAACAAATATCAATGAGAATTTTCTCCCTTTGCCTCGACTATTTCACTATTCTATCTTCTACTTGTCCGCTAGATTGAATTTTGATGTTGTATGTATATATAAAATATTTTGTCTTATAGTATACTATCTCATAGAATTTTTAAGTCTTCAAGGAACTGTCATAAATTCTTACAAAATTAGACTAAACAGTTTGAAAAAGTTTAGACCATCTGAAACAAAAACCTAAATGAGCATTCAAATAACTTTATATTCTTTACAGAGATAAAAATCTTCACCCAATATTTGAACTTCTTCCATATTTTGTAATACTTCTGGACTTTATTAAAAATTGGAGTTTTACATATGTGGTAGCCTAGCCATTGAATAGTAGTATAAATTTTAAAACAAGATTGAATAGATATTTTTAATGTGTCTCAATTCTTCAAGCATTATCAGTTAAAGTGCTCACAGACAGAAGACTTCAGCAAGATAACTAATAGTTACAATGAGGAAATTCTTTTGGTAGAGTAGGAATTTGCATTTGGCTAAGACAGTTATCCGACAAAGTGGCAATAACATTAAATTTTATAATAGGGAATGGGGAAAGTGAACTAGACTTTGTGGCTCATGGAATTTAGTCACACAAAAACTTATCCAAAATGCATGCCACTGGGTATTCATGTAATTAAGTTATTCTCTGTATCTCCTTATAGTGTGACATAAAAACATCATGCAGTGTTTATTCATCTGGAAAAGTCTGTAATAACCAAATTTTGACTTGTTTTTACATATGCAACTTTGACAAGGATAATTCAATAAATCAAATTATATAACTAACTCTCATGTTCCTTGAAAGCATTTTAATAGCAAGTCTTATGTTTAAGGAAAACTAAAAGCCTAGGGTAAAAGAATTCTATGCATGGACTCCAGTAGAACCAATATTTAAATAATCTAATTGAAAATAGTTCCATCTCATGTGGAGACCTGCAGATATAGTATATAGAATCATAGTTATTCAGAGATATGAGAGGGAACTTCATTAAGGATACTGTTCAAAGTAATGGTGAAAAGGGACACTAAAAATGAATGAAATATATGCACTTAAAAACTTAAATCAAGTTTATTTTTTGAGAACTGATTACTTGTATACTTATAGTTTCAAGTCAAACTGCAGTAGAATTACTCTCAGTGTGTACATTTACTAAAGTAATATCAAGTATAAGAAGAAACTCTGATCCCTGAGTAATGATAATGAAAAATTATTCAAGCAACAATTAAATATTCAGGAATCCTCCTGTTTGCAGAACTGCCTTAGGCCACATTTAGTTACAGAGGCTATGGAGGCAAATCAATAGTGAGCAATGCCCCATTTATTCTACATTGCTGGGTAATGAGGTATTCCAGCAGAGATAATTTTTCCAGTGAAGTTTTATACTCTCAAAAAAAAAAAAAGCTTTCATGGAATCCAGTTTTTTCTACCAGCATTTATGTCTTCTAGTCTTGTGGTTTTCTACCAGCATTTGTGCCTCTAATATTCAAATTCTCTTCTGTAAGTTTAAAAAGTCCATTTCTAACTCAAAAGCATATGGTTCTTCAAAATTTTTCTAGTGTTATATTTAACTTCTTCCTTTAACAGAGTAGTTTCCAGAGACCATATAATTAATGTCATTGATATGGTTTGGATGTATGTCTCCTCCAAATCTCATGTTGATATGTGATCCTCAGTGGTGGAGGTGAGGTCTGGTGGGATATGTTTGGGTCACAGGGGCAGATCCCACGTGAATGGCTTTGTGTCCTCCCCATGGTAATGACTGAGTTTCTCATTCTGATAGTTCAGTCCATTGTTTAATGGAGGCTGGTACTTCCTCCCCTCTCTCTTGCTCCCTTTCTCACCATGAGATTGATATGCCCGCTCTCCCTTCACCTTTTGTCATGAGTGGGAGCTTCCTGAGGCCCTAAAAAGAAGCAGATGCTGGCACTATGCCTCTTGTACAGCCTGAAGAACCATGAGCCACATAAAACTCTTTTGTTTATAAGTTACTCAGCCTCAGGTATTTTTTTTATAGCAACACAAAACAGACTAACACAGAAAATTGGTACTGAATTGTGGGACACTGCTATAATTGAATTGAAAATGCAGAACCAACTTTAGAACTGGGTAATGAGTAGAGGTTAGATGGAGTTTGGAGGGGTCAGAAGAAGACAGGAAGGTGAGGGAATGTTAGGAACTTCTTAGAGACTGGTTAAATGCTTTTGACTAAAATGCTGATAGAAATATGAACAGTGAAGGCCAGGCTAACAAGGTTGCAGATGGAAATGAGGGATTTATTGGGAACTGATGCAAAGGTCACCCTTCTTAAACCTTAGCAAAGAACTTCACTGCATTGTGTCCATGACCTAAAGATGTATGGAAGACTGCTGAGGCAGGCGGATCACGAGGTCAGGAGATCAAGACCATCCTGGCTAATACAGTGAAAGCTCGTCTCACTAAAAATACAAAAAATTAGCCAGGTTTGGTGGTGAGCGCCTATAGTCCCAGCTACTCAGGAGGCTGAGGCAGGAGAATGGCGTGAATCCAGAAGGCAGGGCTTGCAGTGAGCCGAGATCATGCCACTGCACTCCAGCCTGGGCAACAGTGCGAGACTCTGTCTCAAAAAAAAGAAAAAAAAAAAAAGGAGTGATGACCTGGGGTACCTGGCAGAAAAAAAGTTCTAAGTAGCAAAGCATTCAAGAAGTAGTGTGGCTGTTTCTAACAACTTATAATCAGATGTAGGCACAAAGAAATGACCTAACATTGAAACTGATATTTAAAAGGGAAGCAGAGTGTACAAGTTTGTAAAATCTGCAGCCTGGCCATGTGATAGAAAAGAAAAAAGCATTTTCAGGAAAGGAATACAAGAGGGCTGCAGGGCGACCACTTCCTATACTGGTTAGCATGACTAAAAATGAGCCAAGTACTAATAGCCAAGGCAATAGAGAAAAGACTTTGAAGACATTTCAGGGATGTTTGAGGCAGCCCCTTCTATTACAGGCTCAGAGGCTGAGAAGGAAAAAGTCATTATGGGGGCCAAGACCAACGCCCTGTTGCTATACACAGCTTCAGGACACTGTTCCCTGCATCAAGACCACTCCAACTCCAGCCTCAGCTCAAAGGGCCACAGACATAGCTCAGGCTTCCATTCTTAAGGTCACCATAACCCTTGGCTGCTTCCATGTGGTGTTAACCCTACAGGTGTGCAGAATGCATGAGTGAAGGAGGCTTGGCAGCTTCTAGCTGGATTTCAGAGGATGTATGGGAAAACCTGGGTGCCCAGGCAAAAGCCTGCTGCAGGGAGGAAACCCTATCATAGAGCTTCTACTTCTACTAAGGCAGTGCTGAGGGAAGATGTAAAGTTGAAGAACCCACAAAGAGTCCCCATCAGGGCACTGCCTAGTGGAGCTATGGGAAGGTAGCCACTGCCCTCCAGGCTCCAGAACAGTGGAGAAAATGGCAGCTTGTATCCTGAGCCTGGAAAAGCTAAAGGCACTCAGCTCCAACCTTTGCAAGCAGCCATGGGGAATATACACTGTAAAAGCCACAGGGGCAGAGCTGCCTAAGGTCTTGAGAGCCCACCCCTTACACCAATATACCAAGGATATGAGACATGGAGTCAAGGATTATTTCAGAGCTTTAAGGTTTAATGCATGTCCTGCTGGGTTTTGGACTTGCATGTGGCCTATTGCCCCTGTCTTTTGGCTGATTTCTGCCTTTTGGAATGGGAATTTTTACCCAATACTGGTACCACTACTGTATCTTGGAAGTAAATACTTGTTTTTTTAATCTTATAGGTTCATAGGTAGAAGAAACATGCCTTGAGTCTCAAATGAGACAAATGAGACTTTTGATTTTTTAGTTAATGCTGTAAGAAGTTAAGACTTTGGGTCTGGGCACAGTGGCTCACGCCTGTAATCCCAGCACTTTGGGAGGCCAAGGTGGGAGGATCATGAGGTCAGGAGTTTGAGACCAGCCTGACCAACATGGTGAAACCTCGTCTTTACTGAAAATACAAAAATTAGCCAGGTGTGGTGGTGCATGCCTGTAATCCCAGCTACTTAGGAGGCTGAGGCAGGAGAATCACTTGAACTCAGGAGGTGGAGGTTGCAGTGAGCCTAAGATTATGCCATTGCACTCCAGCCTGAGTGACAGAGCGATACTGTGTCTCAAAGAAAAAAAAAAGACTTTGGGGAACTATTGAGAAGAGATAATTATATTTTGCAATGTTAGGACATGAGATTTGGGGGGCCAGAGGTGGAATGGTATGATTTGGATGTGTGTCCTCTCCAAATCTCATGTTGAAATGTAATCCCCAATGTTCAGGTGGGGCCTGGTGGGAGGTGCTTCAGTCATGGGTTAGAATCCCTCATGGATGGCTTGGTGCCCTCCCCATGGTAATGACTAAGTTCTCATTCTGTTAGGTCACATGAGAGCTGGCTGTTTAAAGGACCCTGGTACCTCCTCCTCTCTCCCTTGCTGCCTCTCTTGCCATATGACATGCCTGTCCTTCACATTTCACCATGAGTGAAAGCTTCTTGAGTCCTTTACCATAAGCAGATGCTGGTATTATGCTTATTGCACAGCCTGCAGAACTGTGAGCCAAATAAACCTTTTTTTTTTAAATAAATGACACAGGCTCAGGTGTGTTTTTTTTTATAGCAATGCAAAACAGACTAACAGTCAAAATAGCTCTCAGTTCTCTATCTTTAGAAAACAACCATATGCAAAGAAAGAAGTTCTTATATTATCTCTAATTAAGATTTTTAAAAGGAGGATATTGAAGAATCACCTGCCTGATCCTGTAGCTATGCCTGGGGATATTTTTTAGAAACCAACTCTCTGTGTGAACTAAAACACGCTTCTGCCTTTCTTAATCTAACGTCCTCATTTTAGGATGAGGAAACTGAGCCCCAGATTGGTAAATGTCTTGCCTACCCAATAAGTGTCAGTGCCATCACCATATACTACATCAGGGGTTGGCGAGCCATAGCCTCTAGGCCAAATTCAGTATTTGTTCTGTTATGTAAATAATGTTTTATTGCAGCACAATCTTGTCCATTAGTTTATGTATCGTCAATAGCTATTGTCATGTTACTACTGCAGAGTTAATTGGTTGTAACAGAGACCAGAAACAGGAACTTCTGGTCCTCAAAGCCTAAACTACTTACTATCTTTCCCTTTACAGAAAACATTTGCTGACATCTGCCTTAGATAAGCCAATTCTGATACTTCTCTCACTCTTTCCTAGTAAATACTATCCATGTGCCAGATTTACCCATACACAAGTACATGTAACATACAGGGACCTACAGAACTTGATAAAGAGACTTATGTGCCAGTGCTTTGTCTAAATAACATCTGCTTCCAGAAGGCAAGCATCTGAAGACCCCACTACTTTTAGACCACAGTACTTTTAAATTACACTATGTCATATTGTTTCATTCCAAATTAATGGGGTGGGAAAGATACAGAAAGAATGGACCTCCATTTAATCTTCTTTCTGTAGTGCTGGTTTATATCATTTAGTTTACTGGAGAAAGACAATGTATGAGTTACTTATTCATAAACCTAGACAAACTGCTATAACAATAAGAAACCTTGGTAATATTTTTGTTGTATGGTATATATTTATGAGACTAAATGTAAATTGTGCCTTCCTTAAAACTGAAAACTCATATGAATTCACTTACGATGACAAATTAAGAAATATCTTACTCAGTAAGGAAGTATCTTTTCCTTTCTTCCACTAAGGTACAAGCCATATATATAGAAGGTGGAATAATGAGGAAACTCCTGTCGAAATTCAAAACATTACAGGCAAGCTTTCTCATGCACAAAATGCTGCTTTTAATTGGTTCTTAACTAAATTAATTAAGCTGGTATGACTCACTCTCCAGTCACAACTCAACTTGAAAAACACAAAGGAATATGGCTGGGATAACAAAAGCTAAGAGCCCTGAATTACTCCTGATTTTCATATTAACAAGGGAGTTCAGCCTAGAGAGAAAAGGTTAATTTGTTTTTTAATAGGCTTTTGAAAGACGTGATCAGGTCTAGTGTGATAATTTATGGTTAATCATATGTTTAGAGGCAAAAGGGATTAATCTTTTAATATTAGAGCAATTTTTTCTGTAATATAAAACAAAGTTCTTTTCATAGTAACGTTAAAAGTCAGATCAAACTTCCTTTTTGAGCAAAGTTGGCAAATTGACAAGAAGGAAGAAGAAAATCTGTCTGAACAGCAGCATAGTAAGAAGATCAGACCAGCAGGGTAACTCCCTGCAAAAGCCTCTTTCCCAATCTGTCTCCTTTTTTATTTTACCATAAGTGGTGTAAACCAAAAATAAAATTCTCAGACCCCTACCAACTGAACCAGCTCCCTCTTAGCCAAGGAGACCTGAGTGAAACTTAAAAACTGAATTCCTGGCCATATCCTGAAGGGCATTCAGATTAGCCTCATTATACCCCCTCTCTTTTGGAGTACATACACAACAACTGACCAACATTAAAGTTAAAATAGAGAACTTTAGACGGACAAAATAGACTCTCTGTGGCTGCATTATACTGTTCTCATGGCACTATAAAGAACTGCCCAAGACTGGGTAAATTATAAAGGAAAGAGGTTTAATTGACTCACAGTTCTACAATGCTGTGGAGGCCTCAGGAAACTTACAATCATGGTAGAAGGGGAAGAAAACACGTCCTTCTTCACATTGTGGCAGGAGGGAGAAGAAGGGGAAAGCCCCTTATAAGACAATCAGATCTTGTGAGAAATTAGTCACTATCACAAGAATAGCATGGGGAAAATCACCCACATGATTCAATTACCTCCCACCAGGCCCTTCTCACCACACGTGGGGATTCAAGATGACATATGGGTGGAGACAAAGCCAAACTATATCATTCTGCCCCTGGCTCCTCCCAAATCTCATGTCCTCACATTTCAAAACACAATCATGCCTTTCCAACAATCCTCCAAAGTCTTAGCTTAGCATTAACCCAAATTCCAAGTCAAAAGTCTCATCTGAGACAAGGCAAGTCCCTTCTGCCTTTGAGCCTGTAAAATCAAAAGCAAGTCAGTAACTTCCTAGATAAAATGGAGGTACAGGTATTGGGTAAATACACCCATTCCAAATAGGAGGAATTGGTTAAAACAAAGGGTCTACAGATCCCATACAAGTCTGAAATCCAATAGGGCAGTCATTAAACATTAAAGTTCCAAAATGATCTCCTTTGACTCCATGTCTCAAATCCAGGTCACGCTGATGCAAGAGGTGGGCTCCCATGGCCTTGGGCAACTCTGCACCTGTGGCTTTGCAGGGTACAGTCCCCCTCTCAGCTGCTTTCACAGGCTGCTGTTGAGTGCCTGTGGCTTCTCCAGGTGCACACTGTAAGCTGTCAGTGGCTCTACCATTCTCGGATGTGGAGGACAGTAGCCCTCTTCTCACAGCTCCACAAAGCAGTGCTCTAGTGGGGACTCTGTGTGGGGACCTCAACCCCACATTTCCCTTCTGCCTGCACTAGCGAGATTCTCCATGAGGGCTACACCCCTGCAGCAGACTTCTGCCTGGACTTCCAGGCATTTCCATATATCTTCTGAAATCTAGGCAGAGGTTTCCAAACCTCAATTCTTGACTTCTGTGCCTGCACAGGCTCAACACCACATGGAAGCCACCAACGCTTGGGGACTGCATCCTATGTAGTAATGGCCTGAGCTGTACCTTGGCCCCTTTTAGCCACAGCTGGAGTTGAAGCAACTGGGATGCAGGGCCCTATGTCCTGAGGCTGCACAGAACAGGGGAATCCTGTGCTGGGCCCAGGAAACCATTTTTCCTTCTTAGGCTTTCAGACCTGTGATGGGAGGAACTTCTGTGAAGGTCTCTGACATGCCCTGGAGACTTTTTCCCCATTGTCTTGGTGATTAACATTTGGCTTCTCATTCCTAATTCAAATTTCTTGCAGCTGGCTTGAATTTCACCCCAGAAAATGGGTTTTTCTTTTCTATCACATTGTCAGGCTGAAAATTTTCCAAACCTTTATGCTGTGGTTTCTCTTGAATGCTTTGCCACTTAGAAAGTTCTTCCACTGGATACCCCAAATAATTCCTCTCAAATTCAAAGTTCCATAGATCTCTAGGGAAGAGGCAAAATGCTGCCAGTCTCTTTGCTAAAACATAGCAAGAGTCACATTTTCTCCAGTTTCCAACAAGTTCCTCATCTCCTTCTGAGACCACCTAAGCCTGGACTTCATTGTCCATATCATTATCAGCATTTTGGTCAAAGCCATTCAACAAGTCTCTAGGAAGTTCCATACTTTCCCGTATCTTCCTTTATTCTACTGAGCCCTCCAGACTATTCCAACCTCTGCCTGTTACCAAGTTCCAAAATCACTTCCACATTTTCAGTATCTTTATAGCAGCACTTCACTGGTACCAGTTTACTGTATTAGTCCATTCTCACACTGCTATAAGGAATTGCCTGAGACTAGGTAAATTATAAAGGAAAAGGTTCAATTGACTCACAGTTCCTCAGGGCTGGGAAGGCCTCTGGAAACTTACAATCATGGCAGAAGGGGAAGCAAACACATTCTTCTTCACATGGTGGTAGGAAGGAGAAGAATGAGAGCCAGGCAAAAGGGAAAGCCCCTTATAAAACCATCAGATTTTGTGAGAACTTACGATCACAAGAATAGCCTGGGGGAAACTGCCTCCACAATTCAATTACCTCCCACTGTGTCCCTCCCATCACATATGAAAATTATGGGAACTGCAATTCAAGATGTTGGGTGGGAACACAATCAAACCATATTGGTGGCAATAAGATAACAAATTATAAATAAAACCTAAGGCCATGCAAGGCAAGGGTTAAGTAATGCCTCAAGCCATAAATATTGCTAAACAGGTCATTTGGCCCAGTAAATTGTGTTTGACACTGATATACGATCCTTATCTTAACTTAAACATTTCTACTGACTCCAAGTTTTAGATAGAGCCTTATTTTTTAACCAACTGCAAATTAAAGAATTTCTAAATCCACCTATGACTTCTAAGTCGCTGCTTCAAGATATCCCAACTTTTTGATTCAAACAAATTTATGCCTTCCGTGTATTGATTTATGTCTTTTCATGTAACTCCTGCCTTCCAGAAACATATAAAGCTAAACTGTAACCTGTCCACCTTGGGACCATTTATTCAAGGATTCTTGGGTTTGTGTTTTCCTCAGGCTATGGTCACTCATATTGACTCAAAGTAAACCTCTTTAAGATATTTTACAGAACTTGTTTTTTCCATTAACAATAGTAACTTATATATTATTTCAGCCAACTTATGTATTGGTGACACTACACACTGAACAACTGAGCAAGGGCTATGTTCTGCGCCTTCACAAACGAAATGAAAAAGAGATTTGTTCAGCCATTGCATTCAAAAATGTAATGCTTTGAACAGCAGTTTACTAAACTCAACCACAGTTATTTTAACATACTGGAATCTCACAGGAAAACTCTTACAAAGAGAGACATGAGTGTGGAAAACAGCATACAATTTAAGTTGCCAAAACTACATTGAAGACTTTTATGGGTTGACTTATCTTTCTCCTAGAACCATCAGAAAGAGCATGGCCCCTCCAACACCTGGATTTTAGATTTCTAGCCTCTAAATCCTCCTATAATGAGGCAATACATTTGTTTTGTTTTAAGTCACAGTTTTTTGGTACTGTACTTTGTCACTGTTCTCTTGGGAAAAAAAGCTTATACAGGATATTAGGAGATACTAAAAGATACGCAATTATCTTCTTCCATGGCATAGTGTTAGCACTTCAGGAAGAGTAAGAAAGGTGGACGGGAATAAACAATGTCATATTGTGTGAGATCCCCACATTTTAGAATTTAAAAACCAATTTTATGTGGCTTAAGCAGTAGCATAATTTCAGAGATGAAAGATCATTTCATTTTGTCCATCCGCTCACATTTACTAGACATGATGAGACCTCATTTTTGGGGCACCATTTCTGCCATACAGACAGGCATCTGTTACGGGTAGATTGGATCCATGAAATCTCAATGATAGTGCTGTGTCTTTTCTCTTGTCAAACAGGGTTGCTACATGTACAAAGACAGTATACATACCTAATCATAAATGATCAAATTTAACAACCTTCCAGATCTAGAGTTGTGTTTTAGAGGAAATAAGACATTATTTATTGTTTATAGGTACTTTATATGTGTGAAAGGATCTTTGAACTTACCCTGTACAACTCCTTACTCAAAGTTAAAGGGCTTTCGATGCAGGTTGAATGTAACTTTCTTAGGTAATCACAGCTCTAGCACTTTTCCCCTTAGTATTGCTGGGACCACTTGACTGTACTTAGAGACTCAGCTCCATCCAAAGGTCTGAGCTTGGCTAATGTCCTAATTCTCACCCTCTTACACATCTGGGCTCAGCTTCATGCTCTGCCCTAGTTTTGATTGTATTGCTTAGCTCCACAAAATTTACTTTATTTTCTACTCACTTGATTGTGTCTGAGTCTTCAAGTAAAACAAAATGAATTAGATAAGAAATGCCAAACAAAGTCTTTTCCTTTTGACTCCCTGTTGTTTTTTCAGATCTTGGTCATCTTAATCACGAACCAGCCTCAAGTTACCTGCACCAGCATAAGAGGAAAAACAAATTATTTATTTGCAGTGTCAAATCAGTACCAGGTCTGTCCCAAACTTACTGCTCTCCTCTTTGTTCATCTCACTTTTCACTTCTTTTAAGAAAATTTACTAAAAATCTCCATTTTCTAAGTTGCAATTTGGTATTTGTTTCCTTTTTCTGTGTCTTTTTGCTGAAAATTTCAGAGCTCCTCTTTCTATATCCATATACTCACTGATTAAATGACAATTTAGACCATTATGACAATACAGAGAACAGCACAGATTTTATCCTGCAGGGTCTAATTGCTACCTTTATTTCGTTCCAAGGTCAGAGACTACACACTTGTCAATTGCATTTCTAAACAGGACACAGCTAAATGTCCATTATGACTTAGCATAGTTCTACTAACTAATCTAGAAATAAAGAATGTACAAGAAACATCTTTTAGAGAAAATACACTACTTATTTCAAATAAGAGAGAAGTTTTAGATTGAAGTACGTAAAAGAGAGAGGAGGGAGATATTGACTAAGCTATTTGAATCTTCCAAATCAATATCGGATGTCAACAGGTTGACAAGTAAGATGGTTAGAGCTTCCTTGAATCTATATTTTCAGGGTGAGTAAATAGTTATATTTAAGTTTATTTTAAAATATAAAGTATTTTAAGGACGCCATTATGAAAATATTTAAATATATAGAGATATATGTCATAATTTTAAGGTGCTTTAACATTGTGAAGTTATCTGTTCCTTCCATCCAGTCTATATACAGTCAGATGAAAGAACTTTGGCTTCTAGAGAGTAAAAACATTCCCAAAGTCACAAAGAAAGAGAAACTCAATCAATATTCAAATATAAGGCGTATGTTGATTCAATAAGCATTTAATTATACTTACTTTATCCTTAACTTATGCTTGGAAGATGGCCATTTTCTTGTTATATTGCTATGTTTTTGAAGGACATACTCTAAAGAAATAGAATAAAAGATAATCATCTTTTAAAGTCATTGTTAAATAATATTTATTTCAAAACAGTCTCACACAGTTTTGGTTTAGGCATTAGAATTTGGTACCCTAGAACTTAAAGTATAATAAAATATATATATATACATATATATATATATAAGAATTTGTTAAAGCTCAAAATATACAGTTGAATAGCACTAAATGATCATATGCAAACACCTCTTAACTATTAGTATATTATTTGACGTGTAATTGTAGCAACTTTACTAGATTAATTTTGATTTATATCTAAGTACTAGGAAACATAGATATTACTCTTCACATAACTTTAACTTAGAAACCGTACCTGTACTTTTCTGATGCATGTCACTCTCGCTTCATAAGTCACACTCATAATTAGATTTTGTAACCCAAAATAAAACATCTTGTTTTGTTTTATATAAAAAATGTCAATAACTGTAAGGAGACATATCATAATTTCTTGTCATTCATGTTAAAAATAGTAACTTGCGGCTGGGCGCGGTGGCTCACGCCTGTAATCCCAGCACTTTGGGAGGCCGAGGTGGGCGGATCACGGGGTCAGGAGATTGAGACCATCCTCTAACATGGTGAAACCCCGTCTCTACTAAAAATACAAAAAAAACTAGCCAGGCGTAGTGGCGGGCGCCTGTACTCCCAGCAACTCTGGAGGCTGAGGCAGGAGAATGGCGTGAATCTGGGAGGCGGAGCTTGCAGTGAGCCCAGATCGCGGCACTGCACTCCAGCCTGGGCGACAGAGCGAGACTCCGTCTCAAAAGAAAAAAAAAAAAGAGTAACTTGCTTATTTGCAGGAATATAAGTAGAAGGAAGTTGCAGGTGCAGAATCTCATAAAATAAAATAAAGCACTTTGCTTTTAAAATCTATTTAAATATAGCAAGGTGATTCAGTAGGGCTTTGTCAGTTGCCTTCATCAGGGAATTGAGGGGGGAAATATGTAAACTCTAGGTAATTTAGGTATTTGACAGAATTCTGTTACAATTAAGACAGCTTTCTTTGTTACTTGGTTCTCAATAACATGCTTTTCAATCTTTGCACAAACCATCCACCCACAGATATCCAAGAGCTTTTATTAATCCGTGCTTTGAAACACTCCTTAGATATTTATTTTTATTAATTCATCCATTCACTTCGATCTCCAGTTCACTCACTAAGCCCTTCGCTTTTTAATTCTATAGGATTCAGGCTCCATAAATGCTTAGAGCTTGTGATAGCGTTCAGTACCATTCTCCAATCTGAGAGTGTGGTTTTGAAATTTGCAGGCTCCATGGACCTCTGGATAGAAATGAGATGGGTAAGGCCAGTTGACTGCACTAGGCCAGGGTCACTGGGGAGTTACACTATTACAGATTCACCACGACCCACCTTTGCTGGTTTAGATGCTAATTTTTTGTCAGTGCATCCAAGTGTAACCAGTCTTTGAGTTGCAGTGATCATAATTAAAAGAAATTGTTTTACAAGCCAGAAGGGTAATAATTTACAATTGGATAGAAGAACTTTGGCCACTGCTCACCATAGTCCACTCCAAATATGTAAGCTTATACAGATACATAAATGAAGATTAGGAGGATGCCTAGTGAATACTGTGTTATAGAAAAATGAGTAGACCACTTTCTGAGAGTTTCGGTATCCTAACTGAAAACAACTTGCCTCTACTATAGAGAAACTTGAGTTTAAAGGAAAGAAATCAATTGTTAGGAACGTAACTCTCCTTGGAAGATACCAAGGACACTAATAAAGCTGTAACTCATCATATTCCAATAGCCCCCTTTTGTTACATTTAGCATTATATCTCTACTTTTTCTTTCAAAATACATGTAATCCTTATTTTTTTTTAATTTTGGATAGATTTCTAGATTTTGATAGAAGAACCTCTTTTATTTTATAGAGAAGCTTTGTCTAAATTATACCATGAATTATTTCTTTACTTCTGTGGTTTCTTAAACACCTAATTCTAAGTATTACTTCATTTGTTTATTTGCTTGTTTTCATTCATTAATTTAAAAATAGCATAATGAGTCTTGCTAGACCCAACCAAAGAGAATAACATACCTTTATTTTTTTTCTGAACTTTCATTTAATGATTTCCTTCAATAATTTTCTTGAGTAACTATTAGACCTACTTTTGTAACTCAAGTTTGGATTTTAATCCTTCCACAGTCTGCTCTGGCCTGGGTCAATTCCAATATTCCAAAGAATACCTAAGTTGATTCTAGGTTTATGTCCTAAAGTTTTGTGTCATGGAGGATGTTGTTTCTGGAAATCTGAGCTCTCAGTTGCCTGTCTTTTGCAATAGGAAAAAAATGAATGCTTCAATAAGCCCTCAGAGTCTGTTTTAATATGAAATTCTCTACCTGTCCTCATAATTATGATAGGTTTTTAGCAGTATATTTAGGGTTTATATATCTTAGTCTATCTTAACTTTTATATTAGAATTTTATTTGATTTTTTAAAATAGAAGATATCAGACAACTTTATATTGCAAAGTTATACTTATTCCTTGTTAATGTAGGTGGATCAGAAAGGGCATAATTGACCAGTTTGAACCACTGCTTTGACCAACGTTGTCTAAAAGTCAAATAGTGCTCTTTCTTGACCTTAATGTGGTTTCAAGAAAAAATCATCTCCTTTTTCAGAAGTGTTGGAATGTGATTGCTTTTTCTTTATATTCTGAAAGGTGAGTCGTACTCTGCAAGACAAGGAAAAGACCCAGAAACATTGCTACAGAGAAAATTAAGAACGGATTAAATATCAGATAAGTTACTTCAACGTATAGTTTGATTGTCACACTGCACAATATGAGATCTAGACTTAGGAGAATCCATCAATTTTAGACTTCTGACATGATTTCAAATTATGGGTTCCTAAAGAGGTTATTGTTATAATGAGATCAGTGGAGATACATAGCAAATAGTTAATTTGATTATAGTGAGATTATACTTAACACCTAGTATATAACACAATTGTATCCTATGGTGAGTGCAAGACATAATGCATAGGTGTGTTTTGTCTTTTTAAATGATAGCTAGTACACAAATGCACTCACTTTTTAACAAAGATAATGTTAAGAAATAATTAGCACTATAAAAAGATTCCTGGCTAACCTCTAATAATAAGAATCTTAAGCACATAGAAATATAATTCAATTTAGAAAACCCTGATCTGCATATTTATGTTTTAGAAGTACATAAATTTCATAAATATTATTTATAAATAAATAGAAAATTTGCTTGTCTGTGATATCCTTGGTCTACTTTTTCTTTGTGATTATACAAACCTCTGATTCTTACAAAACAATCAATAATTTCTTGTTTATTTTATATCTTTGGGGGGAAATGTTAGAATTTACAAATACAACTATCAAGAAGTTTTCAAATGATAAATGTTCAAAAAAAGATGTGTCACTTAGGCTTGCAAAATTTTTGTGAAATATTTTTGGCCCAATTTATACTGGTTTAAAGGTTTATTTATCTGTCAGAAAAACAAAACAAAACAAAACAAAAAACGCCTGCCTACTGAAACTGGCTCAAATAAGGTAGCAGAATTATGATTGGATTTCTCCACTGCCCACCACAAATGCCCCACAAAAATTCACGGAAGACATAAAGAAACCCCTTCTTTTGAAGCAATCTCTGATTTGTCTGTGATACTCCTCTGTGTCTGCCCACAAGAACAAAAAATGGCAGATTACTTGCATGTTTAAGAAATAAATTGACCTTAACAGTTGAACAATACCATTCAGTGTGTATATTTCATTTTGTCTGGCATTGCCTTTAGGCAGTGAATAGAGACGATGGCAGCTATATCTCATGATCCTTAAAACATCTTTCTAATCACTTTCAAAAAGTGACCCAGCCTTCAAAACGAAAGCATCCATTCATTCACTCTCCAGTCAACACTGATAGAATACCTACTATTGTGCCTATGTACCCTATACTGACCTGTCCACTGAAAATAAAATTGTGGGTTAAATCAGCAATGCTTAAAATAAAATAATTTAAACTGCTCAATAATATTGCCCCATGATCAATTTTAGTATTTTTAGGAAATTGCTTAACTACTGGGCTTTCTAATTTCAAATTCTAGAAAGGCCCTAGTTAAAGATTTATAAAGCCTGAAATCTATGAATAATACTAAATAATTCTAAATATTCTACATCCTTAGATAAAATATATAAATCATTTCTCTAACAAGGTAAGAAAAAATTGTCAGCATTTAGTTGAACTTTAAAATGCATTCTTAATGGGTTTTACTTGTATTTACCAAATGTAAGATAATTCAATTTGTGTCTAATTGTGACATTATTTTATAATTCCAAAATATTGTAGGTTTAAATGTTGCCATTTAATTTACTACATCACAGGTTTATTCTATTTAGTATAGAATTCAGGTAAAGCTTATGTAAAAGAGTGAATAAGCAACTGTTTAACATCTACCCATTCAGTAAATGTTTATTACTCATATCCAATACATTCAAGAGAGGCAGAATTATTAGAAAGATATAGAAACCTTATAAAAGTTAATGAAATTGAAGCCAATGTAATTCGTGAGCATAAACTAGTTAAATAGCCAAGGAGCATGTGTCATGGGAGTACACAGGAAGCATGAGTCCATGTTTGTGTTCAACCAAGGAAGTGTTAACTTCAGACTCAGTCTGGAAAAAGTACACTGTGCAAAAAGGTGGCAGGGGAGACTCTCTTCCTTTACATTATCAAACACAGGCAGTGAGTAAAAGAGGCACAGAATAGAGCAGTAGCATGATGAAACTGTAAAAACCAACTCTTCTTCAGCACATGTCACCAGTCATGTATTTTGCTGAGCCTATTAAAGGAAAGCAAGACCTCGGTATAGAGCTAATAATAGTCTATGCCTCATATGAATGTTGAACAACTGTATAAACAAAGGTTGAGGAGTTTTTGCAAAAAATAAAGGAAGTATCAGTGCAGATTATTCTGAAAGAAGAAAGACAAATAAATTGCACGAAAGCATTTTAGTGGAATTGGGGTAACAAAGAACTGAGAAAGAAGATTTCATAGACCCACAAAGCAAATAAGTAATTTTACCTAGTCTCTCAGTAAGTTAAGTTGAAATTAAGTTCAAAATTTTACTATTTGTTATTTATCAATTTTGAACACAATTATTTTTATATTACTTATTACTGATAAGCTGTATAGCATTTTCACTCCACAGGACAGTGCCATTATTTGTGTTTTATTCATAAGCATCTCTTCTATATAACTCTGGGTTCAATTTCACTGTAATCCTGGGTTGCTATGTCAGAGAAAACAAAACATCGGGCAAGAACAAATACATATGTTATGTTGGTGTCATCAAAGAAACCAATCAAACTGAGGACAGATTAAATGATAATCTATGAGAACAGGTTAAATAAACTAGAGTCTGTGTATTGCACAAATATTATGCACCCATTAAAAACAACAAACAGGATCTATAAAAAGTAGTCTCAAAGAGTTAACTAAGAAGTTCTTGCAGATGAAAAAGCAAGGTACAGAAGAGTATTAATATGATTACAATTTTGTAAAGTCACTAATGGGCCCCAAGCTCTTTGAATATGTATGTGTATGTATGCACACATTTATAAAAATCTATGTAAAATTATATAAGCATGAAGAAAATAGAGAAGAGTCCATACTAGGTGGTTAACAGGTTGCTAATAGGAGTGGAGGTGCAGAGTGGTGCTGTTTTGAAGATAAGAAAAAATGTAACAGAAAATCAAAATCAAAAAAGAGGAGGGACAAAATAGGAAAGCAGGACAGCAGTTCCTTAAAAAAAGGCATTGATTTGATAACATTGTTTATATATGTATGTTCATTGTATATTTGTTTATGTGTAATACGAACTTTTGAATTTGCAAAGAAAATGATTCTGGTTCAGAGTGATGAAAATAATAAGTTGATACTCCACACAGATCCTTTCTTCGTTCTTGAAGTTTATGCTTCACTACAAAAAGAATTTCCATTCAATTGCTTTCATCTACCCTACAAGAGTAATGGCAAATTCAATTTGTAAATGTAACTTGGTGTTATTTCTAAAAATAAATTTCCTGGACAATATGATGATACTCCATAGGAAACAAACACACAGATAAATTTTTAGAAATAAATTCCTAAAAATAAATTTCCTGGACAATATGATGATACTCCATAGGAAACAAACACACAGATAAATATTTAGAAATAAATTCCCTTAATATTTTCTAATTGTGATCGTTTCTGAATCCTAATTTAAAATTATACTAGTTTCAATGTCCAAATAAGAATATCAATAATTCTATTTAAAATCTGGCTGCACATGGTAACTTTTTAAAAAAATTTGTTTTGGAATTTGGTAATAAAGAATATATATTTAGTTTCTGTTTACAGTTTTGTTAAGTAAAGCAAAGATTCACTATTTCATATACAATGCAGAAAAATACCTTTATAAAATAATGAATTATTGAAGAATAAGAATGCAGCTATTTTTTCAAGAGGTCTTTAAATATTTTTTCTTTAATGTAATAAAGTAGATGAAGTATCTGTATTCAAATATTATTTTGTATGAATACAATTTTAAGAGCTTTAGCAGTTTTTTTTTAAACTCCTGAGAACTCCTGTAATATCTTGAATGTGTAGCAAACTTTTTTTCCACATTGAGAAAAATAAATTTTGGCCAAATTCAGAATTTTTAATGTCCAAATTAGTTGACTTCTATTGCGTTTGCAAACTTAAGTACTATAAGAGTAATTTTTTTTCTAAACCTAATATAGTCTAGAAGAAAATAGATACATAGAGTAACAACAAATGGGAAATTTCAAATGTAGGCAAGTATATTGCTGAGTGCCCCCAAAAAAGGAAATGAGAATAGTTGAATTGTCAATGGTACTTCACATTTTGGCCAAACTTCATCCAGTTTTTAAAAACAGTCTAACTTCTTAATCCTTGAAGATCTTAGTAAGAACTTAATGAGAGCTAACGTTCTTTGAGTACTTTCTCTATGCCAGTTGCTGGTCTTGGTAATTTATGTGTGAGCATATTTAGCCCTTACAACAATTATGTGAAATATTTAAAAAAATTATATGAATTTAAGTATTAATATTGTATATTAAACACATATTAAATATCAAAAATATTTATATTAATAATACTTAATCGTTTTTATATGAAGAAACTGAACAACTAAAAGATTAAGTATATTGTTAAGAAATCTAGGCTGGGTGCGGTGGCTCACACCTGTAATCCCAGCACTTTGGGAGGCCAACACGGGCAGATCACCTGAGGTCAGGAGTTCAAGACCAGCCTAACCAACATGGTGAAACCCTGCCTCTACTAAAAATACAAAAATTAGCTAGGTGTGGTGGCGGGCACCTGTAATCCCAGCTACTTGGGAGGCTGAGGCAGAACTGCTTGAACCCAGGAGGCGGAGGTTGCAGTGAGCCGAGATCGCGCCACAGCACTCCAGCTTGGGTGACAGAGTGAGACTCTGTCTCAAAACAAAAACAAAACCACAACAACAAAAAGAAATCTGTCTAGGTCATTCAGGCAGGATGCGTAGAGCTGAGAATCAAAACCAGACAACTCATACCCTTAACCACCAGAGCAGGGCTTCTCAACCTCAGCACTATTGATATTTTGGATCAAGTAAATTTTTTACTGTAGGGAAGTTACTCTGCATTTTTGGATGCTGTCCTCTGCCCATTAGATGCCACTAATTATGACAATCAATGGCTCTCGATATTGACAAATGTCCCCTGGGGACCAATCTCCCAGTTGAGAAGCACTGGATTAAGGAGCACATAATAAAAGGAGCAGATAATAAAAATTGTGGTTCTACTGGGAAAGAGAAAGGGAAGAAAAGATGTTGGGTAACTGATATTCAGTATTCAACAGCTGTCTTGTAATTATTTATTGTCTTTGTCCCCTATTTTAGTACATTTCTCAAGGCTTTGTTTTGCTTATTGCTTCTCTTATCTCTAGTAGCTGTTCTATACTGCGTTATCAATACATTGCTTTTGAATTAATATATAGACCATCCATTGGAAAAGGGATTTTTTTAGTGCTCTTTCAACTCTACTCAACAATCAATTTATAACAATTGTCAAAATTTCCCTGGGAGACAAAATTCCCTCAGGTTGAGAAATATTGTACTAGACACTGCCTCCTACTTGATAACCAATCCATATATTTATATAAAGTTGAGTATTTAAAACCTTTATCAGATAAATTCTTTTGACTTCCTAGTGAGAGTATTAGGACAAGATAAGAAACAGTCCCTATTGTAATGGTATTGCTATCTCCTTTTTCTTCTTTTTTTCCCAAAGCG
The DNA here is from genome assembly GCF_000001405.40 of Homo sapiens. Classification (NCBI taxonomy): domain Eukaryota; kingdom Metazoa; phylum Chordata; class Mammalia; order Primates; family Hominidae; genus Homo; species Homo sapiens. The sequence goes on along the minus strand of NC_000003.12, from coordinate 86,591,353 downwards.
CCACTGCGTCTTCATGGCAAGTCATACCTTCCCTCAAATTCTGGATTCCAGACAGCATAAACTCCTTGATGTTCCTTAAATGTGGCAAATTATTTTCATTTATCTCTTTTGAGAATGGCTCCTCTCCCACCTTTATATACATAAGTCCTTTGCTTTTTAGGATTCATCTTTCAGAGCTTACACCTTAATAACCCACGACTTGGCTAAAGTTCCTCAAATACTCCTATATTTCCTGTGTATATTTCTGACTTGGCATTTATCACACTTATTATATTCATGGCAGGTTGTTTTTTTAGTCACCCTAAACTGTAAATTCATTGAGAGAAAAGTAAATCTTCCCTTATATTCCACTGCCTAGCACATAGTAGGCCTCTACTTATTGAATAGAAGAAGGTTGGAATGAAATTATTTTTGACACTCAGTGAAGGCCATTTATTGAATAATTTACTTCCTCAAGAAAAGTTTTTAAAATATGTTTATGTTAGCATATATCACATGGCAGCTTAAAGCATGCATTTTTGTTGATCCTATGTGACAACTGAAAACTCTAAATAAACTTAACATACCTGGAAATGCTATGTAGCATAAAAAAAGTTTTGTGTGTTGGCTGGGCGCAGTGGCTCATGCCTGTAATCCCAGCACTTTGGGAGGCCAAGGTGGGCGGATCACGAGGTCAGGAGATCGAGACCATCCTGGCTAACACGGTGAAACCTCGTCTCTACTAAAAATACAAAAAATTAGCGGCGGGCGCCTGCAGTCCCAGCTACTCCGGAGGCTGAGGCAGGAGAATGGCGGGAACCTGGGAGGCGGAGCTTGCAGTGAGCCCAGATCGCGCCACTGCACTCCAGCCTGGGCGACAGAGCGAGACTCCGTCTCAAAAAAAAAAAAAAAAAAAAAGTTTTGAGTGTTTAAATATCAACTATGACACTTGCAATTGCTCTGTGACTTTTATCTACATAATCTGAAATCTTCAAATAGTATTTTCTTAATACGATAATACCCAGGGCATTGTGTTACGTACTGAATGAAAATATGCACAAATACGTAATGATTTTCTTGTCTATGGGCAGGGAGATTATATGTTTTGCTATATAAATCGGGATCTATTTGAGAGTGGAAAAAGAAGAAACTACACTAAAGAAATTACCCAACCCACAAGAAACCTAATAAAAAGTAGATCATATTATCTGGGGCAAAATAGAGGTGCTATTCCTAGGGAAATGACAATGTGCTGCGTTGCGATTACAATTGGCCCAATAGTTCATGACACCGTTTGTAAAAAGTATATTTATGCCTTGACTGCTTTTACCACAGCCGCACCATGTATAATTTTTAAGTTTTATAGGACTAAATTTACCTGAAATAAAAATAAATTCTCAACTACAACTTCTGTCATTTTGAAGCTTGTTATATTTGGTAATAATACACCCTGTTCTCCTTAAACGCTCAAAAAGTTTATTGGCTCTACAAGTGTTTAGAATACTACATATCCACGAAGATTCCATTAGAAAGAAACAGGAGGCTTCCACTTAACTCTGCTGGAATATGTGTTATGTTGAAAAGGATGTTATATGTTATGCTCATAAAATTTTGAATTTTCATGGTCAAATGTCTCTGTGATTAAAATGTGATATATGCTAAAAGTGAAGATAAATTACTCGATTATATACTGCATTAAATAGATACCTTGGTTTGTGCTGTACTAATTAAATAGTAACTAATCTTTAGAGAAACTATAGGTACAGTTAAAACCTAGGTCAATCTGAATCTGCAAGGTCAACCTGGATTATCATAGACTTATATTTTAAATGAGATAGTTTTCCAGTAGAAGTGTGATCAAAATATATGATGTAACTTTTCAAAGATACACACTTTTATACGACTTTTAATGTTTATAACCTCAAGTGACCATTGCTGCTCACTTTTATCTGTGTGCAATATATATATTCATCGATCCGTCTAGGTGTATGTTCAGGCATTATTGATTGAGGTGAGCTAGACTCTAACTTCAATGAACCTAGTATAGATAATAAACTTTATTTGCATTTTGTGTAAATTTATTTTTACAATTCAAGCCTATAAAAACAAAGAGTTAATCCATATAATGCACAATCATGGAGCTTATATTCAGAATGTTTTCTTTCAATCCAAGTGTTTAGTTTATATATATAAGACTATATGTATAAGGTATTAAATATGTTATATTACACATATTATATATATGTATTGGTTATGTATTTAAAATTATTTCGGTGACTTAGATTTTAAAAGAAAATTTAAAAAATAGTGCTAAGCCTGTTTAAAGAGATAACTTTTTGAGGCGGGCAGATCACGAGGTCAGGAGATTGAGACCGTCCTGGCCAACACGGTGAAACCCCGTCTCTACTAAAAATACAAAAAAATTAGCCAGGCGTGGTGGCGGGCGCCTGTAATCCCAGCTACATGGGAGGCTGAGGCAGGAGAATGCCATGAATCCAGGAGGCAGAGCTTGCAGTCAGCCGAGATCACGCCACTGCACTCCAGCCTGGGTGACCAAGCGAGACTCTGTCTAAAAAAAAAAAAAAAAAGCTTTGCCAAAAGTATATCAAATAGTTCTTGATTGATTCAAACTCCTTAAAAACATATTCAAAATTCTATTACCTAACGATCTCTATAAAGGGAACTGCAAACTACTGCTCAAAGAAATCAGAGTGGACACAAAGAAATGAAAAAACATTCCATGTTCGTGGATGGGAAGAATCAATATCGTGAAAATGTCCATACTGCCCAAAGCAGTTTATGGATTAAATGCTATTCCCATTAAACTACCATTGACATTCTTCACAGAACTAGAAACAACTATTTCAAAAGTCATATGGAACCAGAAATGAAACCAAATAGCCAAGGCAATCCTAAGCAAAAAGAACAAAGCTGGAGGCATCACATTACTTGACTTCAAACTGTACTACAAGGGCTACAGCAACCAAAACAGCATGGTACTGGTACAAAAACAGACACATAGAACAATGGAACAGAATAGAGAACCCAGAAATAACACTGTACACTACAATTATCTGATCTTCAACAAACCTGACAAAAAAGAGGACAATTTTCTACCTTGAATGCATGGGCAGAACCTCTCTTTACAAGTAACATCCTTGAAAGATATGATATTTTATGCCATTTCTCAAACAAAGTATAATTTGTGGCTTGTGTACAACAACATAGCTGACTACTATGTACTCAGTTAATAACAGGCATCGAAAGAGGGCATGACTTACATAATATTCTCTTATGCTATTTTGAAATAAATAGGTCATAAAGCTTAGCTGGTGAAAAAAAAAGTCTAAAGAGAAAAAAAGTATTATAGATAAGTAAAGAAAGACAAGTATAATTCCTATTTTCCATGCTTTTATTTCTTGATTTACAATTGTAATACATTAGATTCAAACAAGTCAGCATAAAACAAGTATCACCCTATTTAAAAGATTTCAATCATACTTCAGTTAAAACTGTGTTGAAGAGAACTGGTATTTGGCTTTTGAATAAGAAAGCAATTTGGAAAATACATAATTTTTGGAATTACATTACTCATCACCATAATCTAAACATATAAGAAAGAAGAGTATCTTGATGTATGTGTGCTTTACTGAGAAGAGCAAAGTTTCCCCAGCTTCTCCGAGAGAGAGAGAGACAGAGAGAGAGAGAGAGAGAGGGAAAGAGATGTGTGTAATTCCTTTGTGTAAGAATTTATCACAACAGGATTGATTAGAGATTTTTTTACTGTGTTTCAATTTTACATATTAGTGTAGTAGATGTAGTTTCTTATGCCATTAAGTCAGTTAAAGACACAAATATGTTTTAATATTAGAAAATACTCTTTTTGTACAAATAAAGCTATCTTTACTATATTCTGAAATCATTTCAGCTCTATTGCTATAATTAACAAAAGGATTTTAAATCTATTAAATTGCATTAAAAATTAGTGAATGTTTCCATATAAATACTTAATATACTAATGCACTATTAAATATCTAAATTACATGTGCAAAACAAAAGGCAAAACCATTTCCCTTGTCTGTAAAACATTCTTGAAGTCTTTTAAATTTATGAAATATCTAATGTCAAATCTTATTTCATATACTTTGAAAGTTGTACAGCCAAAATAAGTATTTTGTCTGTGCTAGACTGTTAGTCAGTTCTAAATCAGTCTCCATCTTCACGTGATATTCGATGCTTATTTTTGAAACATAATAAATGTCTCTTAAAATGTGGCTTATTCCTTTATATAGTCATATATCATGTAAAGCAAGTCATGTATGTCAGAACAAAATATGTTAATAAAACATTTGTTTTTGTATCATTAGCTAAAGTAGCATTTAAAGGAAATATTAGTGCTGTTTATCATTATCAAAGAAGTATTATCTTCATAAATTTTTTCTCATAAATGTCTGATGCTTTTTCATGTAAAAAAAGTCTGAGGAAAATATGTATCCTTCCTATTTTACAAGCAAAATTAATTTGTATATTATCATCGCTCTCTCTGTTATACTCTGCTGTTTTGTAATTTTTTTTGAACATTTTATTTTCATTTCTGAGAATTCATGAATGTTTTGTCATGGTGATAAATGAGATAAATTATAATATTTCCCATCTTCAAATATTTAAGACATTTCTAAACTCAACTCATGTTATAGACTATGCAAAGTTTTTAAAAATTACACACTAACACTTTTCTAAACCATATTTGTGATGTTTCCAGAAGACGTAATTTGAAAAACAAATCAAAACAAACAAGCAGAGAAGAAACAAACATTTTTGTAACTCAAAGACTCATTATGCATGTGGCTATATTGTTGTATAAGACCACTTAATCATGTGAACAAAAATATCTTCATTCAAGACACTGCCTTATACTCAATGCTAGAGTCATGAGCCTATTATCTTCAGTTTATTTGACCTTCCTAGGATGCAATAGCAACTTCTGAGTTCCGTATACATCTCCAATACCCTTTAAGGTTCCCTAGAAGAGAATTCCGCCAAGTCAGTATTCACTTTACCAAAGGGAAAGATTAGCGATTTAAATTTAAAAAGGTAATACATATTTTCATAGTTAACATTCTTGGGCATGCCCCAGCTAATGCAAAATGCTGATGAATTTCCAATCATGTGGAATTAATTTCTGGAGAGACACTGGAGAATGACACCAGGTTTCATGAGGAAGTCAGCTAACAAATGAAAAGACCAGTATGTGAAATCTCTTCCTCAATTTAGCACTGCAATGGCCTTTGATGATCACCTAGGGCTTGCTCATCCTAGGAAAGTAATAACTAGAAACCAGGTTATTGGTACTGTGAGTGAGATAATTCATTTAAAGATAAGCAATGCATAAGGTTATTATACCTTCTTGTTCTAAGTTTGGGACTCTCGTAATGAATAATAGCAATCACTATTTCATTAATAGCATATTGATAAACATCAGATATTGAAAATCCCATTTAAAAATGATATTTTATATTTTATGGATATTTATTATCTTTGAAAGTTGCCATTAGTTTTAGATAAGAAATAATGATGCTTTTACAAATACATAGAAGAGCATAGAAGTAGATACTTCATGAATTGGAGTTATAAAAAGTTTCATCATTTCAACAATGTAATATAATATAGTCTCTGAATCTTACAAGTAACTATTTATGGAAAGTTACTAATTGTGGGAAGACACTGGTCAAAGCCTACCAGTTTTCTTATGATGTGTAGATTTGTCAATATGTATTTTTTGCTAGTATAAGTAAAGGAAGTAAAATAAATTTTTGAGCCACTGGATTACAGGCTGGGTAACAGAGCGAGACCCCATCTCAAAAAGAATAAAAATCAAAAATAAATGTTTGTATTCTGGGCAAATTTCAAAACCCAAAAATATTATTTCCAAAATAATATAGATATATACATCCCTTGTAAGTTTTACTCCTAGGTATTTTATTCTCTTTGTAGCAATTGTGAATGGCAGTTCACTCATGATTTGGCTCTCTGTTTGTCTGTTACTGGTGTATAGGAATGCTTGTGATTTTTGCACATTGATTTTGTATCCCGAGACTTTGCTGAAGTTGCTTATCAGCTTAAGGAGATTTGGGGCTGAGACGATGGGGTTTTCTAAATATACAATATTGTCATCTGCAAACAGAGACAATTTGACTTCCTTTCTTCCTATTTGAATATATTTCTTTCTTTTGCCTGATTGCCCTGGCCAGAACTTCCAATACTATGTTGAATAGGAGTGGTGAGAAAGGGCATCCTTGTCTTGTGCCTGTTTTCAAAGGTAATGCTTCCAGTTTTTGCTCATTCAGTATGATATTGGCTTTGAGTTTGTCATAAATAGCTCTTATTATTTTGAGATATGTTCCATCAGTACCTAGTTTATTAAGAGTTTTTAGCATGAAGGGCTGTTGAATTTTATGGAAGGCCTTTTCTGCATCTATTGAGATAATCATGTGGTTTTTGTCATCGGTTGTTTATGTGATGGATTACGTTTATTGATTTGCATATGGTGAACCAGCTTTGCATCCCAGGGATGAAGCCAACTTAATCATGGTGGATAAACTTTTTGATGTGCTACTGGATTCGGTTTGCCAGTATTTTATTGAGGATTTTCACATCGATGTTCATCAGGAATATTGGCCTGAAATTTTCGTTTTCTGTTGTGTCTCTGCCAGGTTTGGGTATCAGGATGATGCTGGCCTCATAAAATGAGTTAGGGAGGATTCCCTCTTTTTCTATTGTTTGGAATAGTTTCAGAAGGAATGGTACCAGCTCCTCTCCTCTTTGTACCTCTGGTAGTATTCAGCTGTGAATCCGTCTGGTCCTGGGCTTTTTTGGTTGGTAGGCTATTAATTACTGCCTAAATTTCAAAACCTGTTATTGATCTATTCAGGGATTCGACTTCTTCCCCGTTTAGTCTCTTAAGGGTGTATGTGTCCAGGAATTTAACCATTTTTTCTAGATTTTCTAGTTTATTTGCATAGAGGTATTCTCAGATAGTAGTTTGTATTTCTGTGGGATCAGTGGTGATATCCCCATTATCATGTTTTATTGTGTCTATTTGATTCTTCTCTCTTTTCTTCCTTATTAGTCTGGCAAGCCATCTATCTATTTTGTTAATCTTTAAAAAAAAAAAACAGCTCCTGGATTCATTGATTTTTTTGAAGGGATTTTCGTGCCTCTATCCCTTCAGTTCTGGTCTGATCTTAGTTATTTCTTGTCTTCTGCTGGCTTTTGAATTTGTTTGCTGTTGCTTCTCTAGTTATTTTAATTGTGATGTTAGGGTGTCAATTTTAGATCTTTCCCACTCTCTCCTATGGGCATTTAGTGCTATAAATTTCCCTCTAAACACTGCTTTAGCTGTGTCCCAGTGATCCTGGCACATTGTGTCTTTGTTCTCATTGGTTTCAAAGAACTTATTTATTTCTGCCTTAATTTCATTATTTACCCAATAGCCATTCAGTAGCAGGATGTTCAGTTTCCATGTAGTTGTGCAGTTTAGAGTGAGTTTCTTAGTCCCGAGTTCTAATTTGATTGCACTGTGATCTGAGAGACTGTTTGTTATGATTTCCCTTTTTTTGCATTTGCTGAGGAGTGTTTTACTTCCCATTATGTGGTCAATTTTAGAATAAGTGTGATGTGGCCCTGAGAACAATGTATATTCTGTTGATTTGGGGTGGAGAGTTCTGTAGATCCTATTAGGTCTGCTTGGTCCAGAGCTGAGTTCAAGTCCTGAATATCCTTGTTAATTTTCTGTCTCATTGATCTGTGTAATATTGATAGTGGGTATTAAAGTATCCCACTATTTTTTTTTTCTTTTTTTTAGACAGAGTCTTCCTCTGTCACCAGGCTGAAGTGCAGTGGCATGATCTGGGCTCACTGCAACCTCCACTTCCCGGCTTCAAGCAATTTCCCTGCCTCAGCTTCCTGAGTAGCTGGGACTACAGGCATGCACCTCCATGCCTGGCTAATTTTTTTGTATTTTAGTAGAGACAGGGTTTCACCATGTTGGCCAGGATGGTCTTGATCTCCTGACCTCATGATCTGGCTGCCTCAGCCTCCCAAAGTGCTGGGATTACAGGCATGAGCCACCACACCTGGCCCTAAAGTCTCCCATTATTATTGTGTGGGAGTCTTAGTCTCTTTGAAGGTCTCTAAGAACTTGCTTTATGAATCTGGATGCTCCTGTATTGGGTGCATATATATTTAGGATAGTTAGCTCTTCTTGTTGCATTGATCCCTTTACCATTATATAATGGCCTTCTTTGTCTTTTTTTTATCTTTGTTGGTTTAAAGTCTGTTTTATTAGAGACTAGGATTGCAACCCCTGCTTTTTTTTTTTTTTTTTTTGGCTTTCCATTTGCTTACTAAATCTCCCTCTACCCCTTTATCTTGAGTCTATGTGTGTCTTTGCAGGTGAGATGGGTCTCCTGAATACAGCACACTGATGGGTCTTAACTCTTTATCCAATTTGCCAGCCTGTGTCTTTTAATTGGGGCATTTAGCCCATTTACATTTAAGGTTAATATTGTTAGTGTGAATTTGATCCTGTCATTATGATGCTAGCTGGTTATTTTGTCTGCTAGTTGATGCAGTTTCTTCATAGTGTTGATGGCCTTTACAATTTGGTATGTTTTTTCAGTGGCTGGTATCCGTTTTTCCTTTCCATCTTTAGCACTTCCTTCAGGAGCTCTTGTAAGGCAGGCCTGGTGGTGACAAAATCTCTCTGTACTTGTTTTCCTGTAAAGGATTTTATTTTTCCTTCACTTATGAAGTTTAGTCTGGTTGGTTTTGAAATTCTGGGTTAAAATTTTTTTTCTTTAAGAATGTTGAATATTGGCCCCCACTCTCTTCTGGCTTGCAGGTTTTCTGCAGAGAGATCTGCTGTTCGTCTGATGGGCTTCCCTTTGTGGGTAACCTGACCTTTCTCTCTGGCTGAACTTAAGATATTTATATTAAATTTCAGTGTTAGATTTATTTCATCTCATGAAATATTTTTAGTTGGGTTTAAAGGAGCTAAAGTTTGTAGCCAAATACTAATGGGATTTTACCACAAATATGTAATAGAAAATGTGTCTTTTAAAAACTATTAATCTAAGCCACTAACTTGCCAAAGTCTGAGTTAGCTAACTGAATGGTTTAGTATTTGAAAAACTTCTTTACCTACATGAGTTTCCCAAGGATGAATAAGTTCTATACTTTGAATAATGCCCATCTCACATAACCAGGCATTAGGCTAGTTTTTCACTGAAATACTGATATGCAGAATAAGCAATCTTTGCTGAATGAACTGATAAGGTCTTGGTGGTTGAAATATGCATGAAAGGCCTACAAAAGAAGAGTAGATTGGTTAATGATAAATATCATTATGAATTCTTTTCCTCTGAGGTCTCCATTATCCAATATTTTTATCTTTGTGACTTTCTGTTTCTTGAGTATTTAGTACATCTTATTTTCTTTTTTTTTTTTTCTTCAACCTTCATTTTAAGTTCGGGGTCCATATACAGGATGTGCAGGTTTATTACGTAAGTAAACATGTGCCATGGTGGTTTGCTACACAGATCATCCAATCACCTAGGTATTAAGCCTAGTATCCATGAGCTGTTCTTCCTGATGCTCTCCTTCCCACCTTTCTCTGACAGGACCCAGTGTGTTTTATTCCCCAACCCCATATGTTCATGTGTTCTCAACATTCAAATCCCACTTATAATGAGAACATGCGGTGTTTGGTTTTCTGCTCCTGTGTTAGTTTGCTGAGAATAATGACTTCCAACTCCATTTGTGTCCCTGCAAAGGACATGATCTCATTTCTTTTTATGGCTGCATAGTATTCCATGGTACATCTTATTTTCTAACCAGAGTTTAGACCTAGGGTAAATGTGTAAGTAACCTCAAACTGCTCTGCTGGCTCCTCTATGGCCACTCACTTGGTCATCTCTCTAATTCTGAACCATTTCTTAGTATTTCTAGGGTCCTGCTCTTCCAGGCTCCACTTAGTTTTGTGAGATCAAGCCCTCATTCTCCATGAAAACTCACTGTTTTCCACGCTTAAAGTATGAATCCCATTAACCTGGATCATATTGGTCCCACAGTTAATTTCATCTTCTGAGAATGGAAAAAATATCCATGTCCTATGGGAATTACACATATCTGCTTTTTTAATTTTTACTATTTAGGCAATTTAAGGTCATCAACACACCATTTTCCTATACCTTTTTAAGTAAATGTGCCTTCAGAGAATATAATGTGCTCAAAATATTTCTTGAAAATATAGAATTTTCCCATAAGTAAATAAATTATTTTCTTATAAAATAGCTTCTTTCATCACAAGTGCAGTCAACCTTGAAACAATTGTGTAGTAGAATGTAGAAAAAAAAAGAGCTTATCATCCCAGTTACAAGTCCCCCATCATAAAGCTGCTGGGAAGAGTGTACCTATGCCTATTATGTTCTGTTTATTGGCATTAAAATATCTATTTCTTGTGATTTTTAGTCAAAATACATTGGCAGTGTGATTTTTAAAAATCTTCTTTGTTAATATTTTCCTGGTGATTACTCAGTTTGACTATCAATAATCTGTTCATTTGAGCCTAAAAATGTAGTTGTAATCAATAAGAACTGACTGTAAGTTCTGTCAGAGTATTTTTGGAGAAGAAAACTCACAACTTTGTTTACCTCATACCATAACTTTCCCAACTTTCTCTTTTACCTATACTGTTCTTTTTGAAAAACCCATACAAATACCCTAATTTCAGACCCAATCTGGAACAACACTTGCTGTAATTTGGAAAGATTATAAATTAGCTGTTATTGAAATGAGTTTTTAAAAGTATACCTATATAAATTTATCAGTGAAGGAAAATGGTTAAGAAATCAGTATAGTAAAAATTTATGGTAAGTGCTTAAAAAGTTCTCTTTTGTTTGATTTTGCTTTGCTGCTATTAGTTTTTATTTCATATTTTCAAAATTTTCTACCTGGAAAAATATTCTCTTTTAATAGACAATAAGCATAATTAAGATATGTATTGTATTCTGGAACAACTGAAAATATAATGATAGTGTATATATGACATTGCTCTGTAGTTTTCTTGATTTGGTCATATCATTTTCGAGATCTGCTATCAGGATGATATTGACTTTATAGAATAAATTAGGGAGCATGTGCTTCTCCTCAATTTTGAAACAGTTTCAGTAGAATTGGTACCACTTCTTTTTTGCATGTTTGATGGAATTCAGCTGTCAATCCATATGGTCCTGGGCTGTTTTTTATTGTGAAATTTTTTTATTACTGATTCAATCTCACCGCTCATTATGGGTGTGTTCGGGGTTTCTATTTCTTAATGGTTCAATATTGGGAGGATTTTCAGGAAGCCTCATTTCAGGAAAATGAGAAAAATGAGGAAAGCATTTCAGGAAAATATTTTCAGGATTTTTTCCCTTTCTCTATATTTTCTAGTTTTTGAATACATAGTTGTTCATAGTAGCCTCTGATGATCTTTTGTATTTCTGTGGTATCAGTTGTAATGTCTCCTTTTTCATTTCTTATTATGTTCATTTGAATATTGTGTCCTCTTTTCTTGGCTAGTCTTGCCAGAGTTTTACCAATTTTATCTTTTAAAAAAAATCCAACATTTTCTTTTGTTAATTCTTTGTGTTGTTTTGTTGGTCCCAAATTTATTTAGTTCTGTTATAATGATTGTTATTTCTTTTACTCTGCTAGTTTGTGTTTGGTTTGTCCTTTTCTTTCTAGTTACTCGAGGAGTGGCATTCGATTTTTAAATTGTGGTTTTTCTACCTTTTTCACTGTAGGCATTAAACACTATAAACTTGCATCTTAGAACTGTGTATTAGCCAGTCTTGCTTTGCTATAAAGAAATACTCGACACTGGGTAATTTATATAGATAAGAAATTTAATTGGCTCAAGGTTCTGCAGACTGCCCAGGAACATGATGTTGGTATCTGCTTGGCTTCTGGGGAGGTCTCAGGAAACTTGCAATCATGATGGAAGATAAAGGGGTAGCAGGCACGTTACATAGCCACAAAAGGAGCAAGAGAGAGAGAGAGGGGAGGTGCCACACACTCGCAATGGTTTCATCTTAGAGTGGAGGAAGATGGCAAAATAGAAGCCTACACTGTTCAATCCCCCTGCAGGGACCCCAAATTTTAACAACTATCTGAACACAGGAGAGCACCATCACAAGAACCAAAAATCAGGTAGACAATCACAGTATCTGGTTTAAACTTCGTATCATTGCAAGAGGCATTGAGGAGGGCAGGAGGGAAAGTTTTGAATAGCCAAAACCACCCCTTCCCCACTCCCCAGTAATGGCTGTAAAGCATGGAGTGTCTGTGCCCTTTGGGGAGGGAGAGCACAGTGACTGGGGAACATTACATTGAACTCAATGCTGCCCTGTCATGGCAGAGGGTAAGTCATCCTGGGCTCAGCCATTGCTCACACACAGAGGGAACATTTGTACTAGACCTATCCAGAGGGGAATCTCTCATCCCATTTGTCGGAACTCTAATTCTTTGGCAAGCCTTACCACTACAGGCTGAAGTGCTCTGGAGTTCTAGGCAAACTTGAAAAGCAGTCTAGGACCCAAGCACTGTAATTACTAGGCATCTCTTAGTGCTTGGCAGGGTTGAGAGTCAGAGGTCTAGTGTGGCATGTGACCTAGGGAGACACCAGCCAGGATGGCTAAAGGAATGCTTGCACCATCCTTGCCCCATCCCCAAGCAGCATGTCTAGCAGCAATGAAAGTTTCTTTTTTCCTCTGCCTAAGGGTAGAGAGTGAAGAGTAAAGAGTATTTTGACTTGCATCTCGGATACCAACTTAGCCACAGTAGGATAGGGCACTGGGAATGGTTGTGAGGTCCTAATTTCAAGCCCTGGCTCCAAGATGACATTTCTAGGCACACCCTTGCCCAAAAGGGAGCCCACTGCCTTGAAGGAAAAACCAAGTCGTTGTAGGATTCATCATCTGCTGACTAATGAGCCCTTGGGCCCTGACTAACCAGCAGCAATACCCAGGTAGTATGCTGTGGGGCTCATGTTCTGAGACATGCTGACTACAAGTGTAACCACGCACATTCCCAGCTGTGGTGGCTACAGTGAGACTCCTTCCCTGAAGGATGAGTCCCAGGCTTGGCAACATTCACCAGAAGCTGATGAAAGAGCCCTTGGGCTTTAAGTGAACATCAATAGTGAGCTGGCAGAACACCCCTGAAGACCAGTGGTGGTGATGCCCAAAGGGAGAGGCTTCTCTGCCTGTGAAAAGAGGAGTGAAAAGTGGGAAGGACTTTATACTATGGTTTGAGTGCCAGCTTAGCCACAGTAGAAGAGAAGATCAGGAAGATTTCCAATGTTTATGCCCCCAGTCCTTGGCTTTCAAACAGCATCTCTGGAGCTTCCTGGGGCCAGATGGAACTCGTCACCCTGAAGGGAGAGACACAAACCCAGCTGGTCTCACCACCTGCTGATTGTAGAGCCCTAGGGCCTTGAGGGAACATAGATGGTAGCCAGGTAGCGGTTATAGTGGGCATTGGGCAAGACCCAGTGTTGTGTTGGCTGCAGATCTGACACAGCACATTACAAAGTGTGGTGGCCACAGGTGTGCTTGCAACTCCATACCCCCAGTTCCAGAGGGCTATCATAGAGAGAGAGAGACTCTGTTTGTTTGGGAGAAAGTAAGGTAAAAAATAAGATTCTATGCCTTGTAATCCAGGGAAGTTTCCCAAATCTTTTCCAAGACCAGCGAGGTAGCAAGGTGTTACCTGTATGAGTCTTCAAAAGCCACAGCGATACTGGGTTTGGGGCCCAAGTCTCTTCAAATACCTGAAAAGCCTCTCAAGAAGGACAGGCACAAATAAGCACAGACTGTGAAGACTATAATAAATATCTCACTCTTCAATGCTCAGACACTGACGAACATCTATGAGCATCAAGATCTTCCAGGAAAACATGACCTTACTAAACAAACTAAATGGGGCACCGGAAACCAATTCAGAAGAAACAGAGACATATGACCTTTCAGGCAGGAATTCTAACTAACGACTTTGAGGAAACTCAAAGGAATGCAAAATAACAGAGAAAGAATTCAGAAGCCTATTATGTAAATTTAACAAAGAGATTGAAATAATTAAAGGGAATAGAGCAGAAATTTTAGAGTTGAAGAATGCATTTGGCTTACTGAAGAATGCACCATCGTCTCTTGATATCAAAATTAATCAAGTAGAAGAATCAGTGAGCTTGAAGACAGGCTACTTGAAAATACACAGAGGAAATAAAAGAAAAAAACAAAAACAATGAAGCACACCTACAAAATCTAGAAAATCACTGCAAAAGGGCAAATCTAAGAGTGATTAGTCTTAAAGAGGTGGCAGAGAAAAAGATAGAGATAGAAAGTTTATTCAAAGAAATAAAATCAGATAATTTCCCAAACCTAGAGAAAGATATCAACATTCAAATGCAAGAAGATTATAGAACAACAAGAAGATTTAATCCAAAGAAGACTACCTCAAGGTATTTAATAATCAAACTCCCAAAGGTAATGGATAAAGAAAGGATCCTGAAAGCACCAACAGAAAAGAAACAAATAACATACAATGGGGGTTCAATGTGTCTGACAGTAGACTTTTCAGTGGAAACCTTATAGACCAGAGAGAGTGGCATGACATATTTAAAGTGCTGAAGGAAAAAAACAAAAAACAAAAAAAAAAAACAAAGAAAAACAACTTTTTCCCCAGAATAGTAATCCAGCAAAAATACCCTTCAAATATGAAGGATAAATAAAGACCTTCCCAGAAAAATAACAGTGGAGGGATTTCATCAACATGAGACCTACCTTGCAAGAAATGCTAAAAGGAATTTTTAAATTGAAAGAAAAAATGTTAATGAGCAATAAGTAATCATCTGAAGGTATAATACAAACCTCACTAATAATAGCACACAGAAAAGCACAAAATATAACACTGCAATCATGGTGTATAAACTACTCTTATTCTAAGTAGAAAGAAAAATGGATGAACTAACAAAAAATAATTATTACAACTTTTTAAGACATAGTACAATTATACATGAAAAGAAACAACAAAAAGTTAAAAAGCAGGAGGATGAAGTTAATGTGTAATGTTTTTATTAGTTTTCTTTTTGCATGATTGGTTGTTTATGCAATCAGTGTTATCATCAGTTTTAAATAATGAAGTATAAGATAGTGTTTGCAAGCCTCACAGTAACCTCAAATCCAAAAACATACAACAGATACACAATAAATAAAAAGCAAGAAATTAAATCACACCACCATAGAAGATGAATTTCACTAAAAAGAAGATAGGAAGGAAGAAATGAGGGAGGAGAGGACCACAAAACAAGGAGAAAATAACCAAATGACAGGAGTAAGTCCCTACTTGTCAACAATAACATTAAATGTAAATGGACTAAACTCTTCCATCAAAAGATATAGAATGGTTGAGTGAATGAAAAAACAAGACCCCTATGATCTGTTGCCTACAGGAACTGCACTTCACCTACAAAGATGCACATAGACTGAAAATAAAGGGATGGGAAAAAGATATTCCATGCCAACTGGCAACAACAAAAACAAAAAAAGAACGAGTAGCTATACTTGTATCAGAAAAAATAGATTTCAAGACAAAAGCTGCGAGAGACAAAGAAGGTCTTATATAATAATGAAGGGGTCAATACATCAGCATGATATAATAATTGTAAATATATATGCAACCAACACTGAAGCACTCAGATATATAAAGTGAATGCATTACAGCTGAAGAGAGATAGACCTCAATGTAATAAAGAAAGAAACATCTGACTTAATCTACACTATAGAACAAATGGATCTAACACATATTTACAGAACATTTCCATTCAAAGGCTGTAGTACACATATTATTTTCCTCAGCACATGAATTATTCTCAAGGATAGACTATGTGTTAGGTCACAAAACAAGTCATAAAACATTAAAAAACTTGAAATAAATATCAAGCATCTACTCTGACAACAATGCAATAAAACTTGAAATCAAAAACAAGAGAAATTTTGGAAATTATATAAACAAATGGAAATTAAACAATATGCTTTTGAATGACTAGTAGGTCAGTGAAGAAATTAACATGAAAATTGAAACATTTCTTGAAACAAACAATAATGGAAACACAACAAACCCAAATATATGGGATACAGGAAATGCAATACAAAGAGGGGAATTTATAGCTGTAAGCACCTACATCAAAAAAGAAGAAAAACTGCAAATAAATAACCAGATGATGAATATTTAATTTTTTAAGTTTTGTGGGTATATAGTAAATGTACATATTTATGAAGTATATGAGATGTTTTGATACAGGCATGCCATGTGAAATAAGCACATCATGGGTAATGGGGTACCCATCTCAAGCATTTATCCTTTGAATTACAAGAAATCCAATTAAACACTTTAGGTTATTATAAAATGTACAACTAAGTAATTATTGACTATAGTCATCTTATTGTGCTATTAAATCATAGCTATTAATCATTCTTTCTATATTTTGTACCCATTAATTATCCACAGATGAACTTGATGCCCCCCTCTACACTTCCCAGCCTCTAGTAATCATTCTTCTATGCTCTTTGTTAATGAGTTCGATTGTTTTGATTTTACAATCACACAAATAAGTGAGAACATATGATGTTGTCTTTCTCTGCCTTGCTTATTTCACTTAATATAATGATCTCCACTTCCATCCATGTTATTGCAAATGACTGGATTTCATTCTTTTTATGGCTAAAAAATACTCCATTGTGTGTATGTACCACATCTTCTTTATTCATTTATCTGTTAATGGACACTTCAGTTGCTTCCAAATCTTAGCTATTGTAAACAGTGCTGCAACAAACATAGGAGTGCAGATATCTCTTCAATACCCTGATTTCATTTATTTGGGGTATATACCCAGAAGAAGGATGGCTGGATCATATGGTAGCTCTATTTTTAGTTTCTTGAGGAACCCCCAAATTTTTCTCCGTAGTGAGTGCACAAATTTACATTCCCATCAACTGTGTACAAGGGTTCTCTTTTCTTCATAATCTTGCCAGCATTTGTTGTTGCCTGTCTTTTGGATAAAAGCCATTTTAACTGGGGTGAGATGATATCTCATTGTAGCTTTGATTTTCATTTCTCTGATGATCAAAAATGTTGAGTGCCATTTCATATGCCTGTTTGCCATTTGTATGTCTTCTTTTGAGAAATGTCTGTTCAAATCCTTTGCCCATTTTGAATCAGGTTATTAGATTTATTTTCCTATACAGTTGTTTGAGCTGCTTATATGTACTGGTTATTCCTTTGTCAGGTAGGAAGTTTGCAAATTATTCTCCCATTCTGTGGGTTGTCTCTTCACTTTGTTCATTGTATCCTGTGCAGTGAAGAAGCTTTTTAACTTGATGTGATACCACTTGTCTATTTTTGCTTTGGTTGCCTGGTTTTGTGGGGAAATTCTCAAGAAATCTTTGCCCAGGCAAATGTACCAGAGATTATCCCCAATATATTCTTGTAGTAGCTTCATAGGTTGAGGTCTTAGATTTAAGTCTTTAATCCATTTTAATTTGATTTTTATATGGTGATAGATAGGGATCTAGTTTCATTCTTTCGCATATGGATATCTAGTTTTCCCAGCACCATTTATTGAAGAAACTGTGTTTTCCCCAGTGTATGGTCTTTGTACCTTTGTCAAAAATGAGTTCACTATAGGTATGTAGATTTGTTTCTGGGTTTTCTACTCTGGACGCAACTTAGTGAAATAGAATCAAGAGAAGACTGAACCCAAGATTAGTATAGGAAAATAATAAGATAACAGCATAAATAAATAAATTTGAAATTAATAAAACAATACAATTAATCAATAGAACAAAAAGTTGGTTTTTTTGAAAAGATAAACAAAATTGACAAACCAGACTAATAAAGAAAAAAGGGAAAAAGCCCAAATAAATAAAATCAGAGTTGAAAAAGGAGACATTTACAATTTATACCACAGAAATTCAAATGATCATCAGTGGCAACTATGAACTATATGCCATTAAATTGGAAAATCTAGAGGAAATGGATGAATTCCTAGGCACATACAACCTGCCAATATTGAACTATGAAAAAATCCAGAACTGAACAGACCAATAATAAGTAGGGAGATCAAAGCCATAATAAAAAGTGTTTCAGTAAAGAAAAGCCTGGGACATGATGATTTTACTGCTACCAAACATTTAAATGTCTACCAAACATTGAAAGAAGATCTAATACCAATCCTATTGAAACTATTCCAAAAAATAGAAGAGAAGGCAATAATTCCAAACTCATTCTACAAGGCTAATATTACCATGATATGAAAACCAGACAAACACACATCAAAAAAAGAAAACTACAGGCCAATATGTCTGATGAATATTCATGCAAAAGTCCTTAACAAAATAATAGCAAACTGAATTCAACAATACATTAAAAAGATAATTCATTATGGCAAATGGGATTTATCCCTGGGATGCAAGCATGGTTCAATCTATGCAAATTAATCAATGTGATATATCAATAGAATGAAGGACAAAAACTATATGATCATTTTAATTTATGGTGGAAACACATTTGACAAAATTTAACATCCTTTTATGATAAAATCCCTCACAAAACTGGATATAGAAGAAGCATACCTCAACATAATAAGGCCATATATGACACACCACAGCTAGTACCATACTAAGTGGTGAAAAACTGAAAGCCTTTTCTCTAAGATCTGGAACACAACAAGGATGCTCACTTTCATTGCTATTAATAAATGTACTACTAGAAGTCCTAATTAGAACAATCAGATAAGACAAAGATATAAAGGGCATCCAAATAGGAAAGGAAGAATGTAAATTATTCTTCTTTAGAGATGATATGATCCTATATTTGGGAAAACCTAAAGACTCCATCAAAGCACTACGAGAACTGATAAACAAATTTAGGAAAATTTCAGGTTACAAAATGAGCATACAAGAATCAGTAGCACATCTACATGCCAGCAATGAGCAGAAGAATGATACTAGATGCCTATCTTTCACCATATCTTTTAAAAAAGAAATCAAAATGGATTAAAGACTCAAATCTAAGTGTTTCTAACTGCAAAACTACTGCAATAAAACATTGGAGAAACTCTCCAGCACATTGGTCTTGGCAAAAATTTCTTGAGTAATACCCTACAACCACAGGCAACCAAAGCAAAAATGGACAAATGGGATCACACCAATTTAAAAAGCACCTATGTGACAAAGAAAGCAATCAGCAAAGTGAAGAAACAGTGTACAGAATAGTAGAGAATATTTTCAAACTTTCTATCTGACAAGGGATTCATAATTAAAATATACAGCAAGCTCAAATAACTCAATAGGAAAAAAAATCTAACAATCTGATTTAAAAATCAGCAAAGGATTTGAATAGACATTTCTAAAAAGTACATATGAATGACAAACAGGCATGTGAAAAGGTGCTTAACATCATCGATCATCAGAGACATGCAAATCAAAACTACAATGACATATCATCTAACCCTAGTTAAAATGGCTTTTCTCTAAAAGACAGGAGATAACAAACGCCAGAAAGGATGTGGAAAAATGGAACCCTCATACATTGTTGGTAGGAATGTAAATTAGTGCAACTGCTATGAAGAACAGTTTGGAGGTTCCACCAAAAATTAAAAATAGAGCTACCATATGATCCAGTAATCTCAGCGCTAGCTAGATACCAAAAGAAGGAAAGTCAGTATATCAAAGAGATAACTGTACTGCCATGTTTGTTGCAGCACTGTTCACAATAACCAAGATTTGGAAGCAGCCTAATTGTTAATTGACAGATGAATGGATAAAGAAAATATGGTATTTATACACAATGGAGTACTAGTCAGCCCTAAACAAGAATGAGATCCTCTTATTTGCAACAACATTGTTGCAACTCTAGGTCATTATGCTAAGTGAAATAAGTCAGGCACAGAAAGACAAACATTGCATCTTCTTATTTGTGACATGTAAAAATCAAAACACATGAACACATGGAGATAGAGAATAGAAGGATGGTTACCAGATGCTGGGAAGGGTAGTAAGAAGTCATGGGAATTGGGATGGTTAATGGGTACAAAAGCAATAGTTTGAAAGAATAAATAATATGTAGCATTTGATACCACAACAAAATGATTATAGTCAAAATAATTTAATTTTACATGTTGAAGTAACTGAAAGAGTATAATTTGATTGCTTGTAAGAGAAAAGAAAATGCTTGAGTGGATGGATACCCCATTTTCTTTGATGTGATTTTTGCACTTTGCATGCCTGTATCAAAATATTTCGTGTAACCCATAAATATATACACCTACTCTGTACCCACAAACATTAAAATAAAAAAGTTTGTTTTTTCTGATATAAGCAGAGTTACCCTGCTCATTTTTGGTTCCCAATGTTGCTACAGACATGAAGTGTGGAATATCTTTTTACACCCCTTTACCTTCAGTCTATAAATATTTTTACCAGTAGGGTGAGTTTCTTCTAAACAGTGTATAGTTGGTTCATGTTCTTTGGCTTATTCTGCCAATAGACTTTTTAAGTGAAGCATTTAATCCATATATGTTCAAGGTTAATATTGAAGTGAGGTTTTTTTTTTTTTCCTGTCATAATGTTAACTACTCTGTTGTCATTTTGTGGATTCTTTCTTCCTGTTTTTATCTGTCTGTTTGTCTTTGTGCTTTGATGAAATTCTGTCCTATTGCCATTTAATATCTTTCAGGGTCACTGTGAGTTGGCTGGAGATAAGCCTAAGTGAAGTATGGATCTGCCACTGCCACACCTATTTCCTGCATGAGAAGAGA
Source organism: Homo sapiens (assembly GCF_000001405.40). Lineage (NCBI taxonomy): Eukaryota > Metazoa > Chordata > Mammalia > Primates > Hominidae > Homo > Homo sapiens. Next base: position 86,570,457 of record NC_000003.12, on the reverse strand, counting down.
GAGGTAGCCCATGGCCCACGTCTCTAGCCCAGATAAGCCGCTGGGTGTGGGATCCGCATTGTTCTCACTCTGCAGACCCAAGAAGGCTCACTCCCTCATTCTGACTGGAAGAGCAAGTTAGGACACTCAGTGAAGTCACATGCAGTTTGTCTTTTAGTTTGCAAAGCTGCTTCTGACTGTAAAACTGGCTGCTTGGGCAAAACCATACCTCTCCAGCCAATCTCCTTCTGCTCTGGTCTACATCAGGAGAGTCCAATTCCAGCGCTTATGGCTAGAAAACACACCACACTTGCCTGTCAGTTCTGGCTGTGGGCCCTCTTCCCCAGCAGACCCAGCACTCTAAATTCCATCTTGAAACTCTGTAATCCCCTTGGCTGTTGTAGCTGCTAGCTTGCAGGGACCCTCCCAGCTTGTTATGAGCTAGAATTGAGAATGGCGTCCTCCAACTGGGTCCCAAGTCTGGATCAGTGCTTGAAGCACTTCCCAGTGACATTCCTTCTTACAGTCTCCCAGCCTCTCCCCAGGTTAGGTCCAGGGCTTGGGAGGGACAGGGTGCTCACCAGTGGCTTGGTTGGAGAGTTTCCCAAGGGAAAGGTGGATCATTGAACGACACTCTCCGCTTCTCTCCCACATTGGGGTTTCACTCACAGACTTCAGCCTGGCCCCTCAATGCAGACTGCATGACCACCCTCTCTTCCCTATTATCTGACATATTATCTTGCTTTCTGTTAAATTCTCAGGGTCCTTATTGAATGAAAGTCCACAACTGAATCTCTGCACACTATTTTGCTTCTTCCAAGTGGCTGAAGTATATTGGAAAAGTCTCTAAAATAATAAGACTTAACAGGAAATGTTTCTGTCAGTAACAATTATATAGCTTCGCATCAGTAGTATCTTTCTCACAATTTATTTATCATAATTTCCAAAATGCTAATCAACTAAATGATTTACTTTCTTCCTGGAAATATAGAAATAGAACACTTATTTTTATTTTGAATACTTATTACTTTTTAATAAAACTTAATTACATGTTTATATAATTTATTCTTTTATTCCTTCAAATAGATTTTGTTTTTTACAGTGGTGTTAAATTCACAGAAAGATTAAGCAGAAAATACAGAAAAATTTCGTATACTCCCTCTCCCCACATATGCACAGCTTCCACACTGTAAACTTGAAGCCCCCAGTGGTACATTTATTACAATTATGAATCTATATTGACCCATCATGATTCAAAATCCAGCTTACATTAGTTGTTTCATTTTGTTTTTGTATATTCCATGGGTTTTGGAAAATGTATAATGACATATATCCACCATTATAGTATCCTACAGAATAGTTTCACTGCCCTAAAAATCCTCTGTGCGGCCGGGCATGGTGGCTCACGCCTGTAATCCCAGCACTTTGGGAGGCCAAGGAGGGAGGATCACAAGGTCAGGAGATCAAAACCATCCTGGTTAAAACGGCGAAACCCCGTCTCTACTAAAAATACAAAAAATTAGCCGGGTTTGGTCGTGGGCGCCTGTGGTCCCAGCTACGTGGGAGGCTGAGGCGGGAGAATGGCGTGAACCCAGGAGGCGGATCTTGCAGTGAGCCGAGATCACGCCACTGCACTCCAGCCTGGGCAACAGAGTGAGACTCCGACTCAAAAAAAAAAAAAAAAAAATCCTCTGTGCTCTGCCTTTTCTTCTCTTCCTCCATCCCCTCTATACCTGGCCAACCACTAATATTTTTACTTTTCCAGAATTTTGCCTTTTCCAGAATGTCACATAGTTGAAGTCATACACCATGTAGATTTTTCACGCTGGCTTCTTTGAATGTCATATAGTTGTAATCATACACTACATAGACTTTTCACACTGGCTTCTTGGACTTAGCAATATACATTTAAGTTTCCTCTGTGTCTTTTCATGGCTTGATAGTTTATTGTTTTTGGTGTTGAATAATATTCCATCCTCTAGATGTATCACAGTTTGTTTATCCATTCACCTACTGAAGGATATCTTGGTTGCTTCCAGGTTTTGGCAATTATGAAGAAAGCTGCTATAAATATCTATGTGCAGATTTTAGTGAGAATTTAAGTTTGCAGCCTATTTAGGGGAACATCAGGAAGTATCATTGTTGGGTGATATGGAAAGTGTTATGCTTAGTTTTGTATGAAACTGCGAAATTTTCTTTCAAAGTGGCTGTACCACTTTATATTCCCACCAGCGATGAGAGTTCCTGTTGCTCCACCATCCTGGTCAGCATTTGGTTTTGTCAGTGTTCTGGATTTTGGCCATTCTAATGAGTATATAGTGGTATAATATTGTAGTTTTAATTTTCATTTCCCTAATGACATGTGATATGAAGCATCTTTTCATATGCTTGTCGGCCATCTGTATATATATCTTCTTTGGTAAGGTGTCTTAAAATCTTTGGCCCTTTTGATTTTTTTAATTTGTTTTGTTTGTTTGTTTGTTTTATGGACAGGGTCTTGCCATATTTTCTAGGCTGGCCTCAAACTCCTGGGCTCAAGCAACTTCTAAATCTCATTCTCTCAAGTAGCTGGGACTACAGGTATGTGCTCCTGCACCTGGTTCCAGCCCATTTTCTATTGGAATTTTTAATTTGTTATTGATGGATTTTAAGAGTTCTTTGTATATCTTGAATAGAAGTCCTTTATTGGCTGTGGTTTTGCAAATGTTTTTTCCAGTTTGCAGCTTGTCTTATTTTCTTGACAGTGTCTTTTTTAACATAGAAGTTTTTAATATTAATGAAGTCTATCTCATCAATTTTTTCTTTCATAGGTTGTGCCTTTGGTGTTGTAACTAAAAAGTCATCCCCATCACCAAAGTCATCTAGGTTTCCTGCTATATTATCTTCTAAGAGTTTTAAAGTTTTGTACTTTACATGTAGGTTTATGATCCATTTTGAAGAATGCTATGGATGGAATGCTTGTGTACCCCAAAATCATATTGAAACATAAATCTCCAATGTAATGGAATTTGAAGATATGTACTTTGGGAAATGATTGCCTCATGAGGATGAAGCCCTTATGATGGGATTAGTGCCCTTATAAGAAGGGAGTCTCTCTCTCTCTCTCTCTCTCTCTCCTCTCTCTCTCTCCACCATGTGAGTATACAGTAAGTTCATATTATGGCAATGAACTTTAGCTTTCTTTTGAGATATAACAAAAAATTAGTAAATTTTGGCACCTGTTTACTCAAGAAGTTGTGTTCAGCAGTAATTATTTAATGAAAAAATCAATTCAGCAAAGTGCATTTTATAGCATATATAATATTTTAGATGATCTAATTGTGAGTCCATCCACTCCTCATAAAGCTATTATCACTCTCCCTAAAATTTCTGCATCCAAGGGATTCATAATATCTATAAACAATCAGAGGAATAAGTAAAGACAGTGCAGCACTGTCAATTTAGATCTAAAAAGCCATTTCCTATGGAAAAAAACTATAATCTCTATCAAATGATTAGTTTGCAAACCATTTCATACTACTTGAGAAAGAAATCTTTAGGATTGTTGGCTATAACTATTTTGAAAACTCTAAAACTTCTTTGAAAATTTTCTCAGCAGGAAACAAATTTATCCTTCCCATCTTTGAAACTGAAAATTCCAAAGTGTAAATATCCTATGTCTTTTGTAAAAGAAATTATTAAATGTCCAAGTGAAAGCAATTCAAATCTCCAAGATAATTCCATTTCTTCCTTCTTCATTGTCATTTTGCCTGTCAATTACTTTATTTACATGAAGCATTGTTTAAAACTTATTGTCATGAGAGAAAGCATTTCTAAAAAGCAACAGAAAATTAGGAGGTACATAGACTGGTAAAAGTGACTTGCTTTTGGGAGGGAGACCGAGTGTCTGGAGTCTTCTGATTTTTAATTTAAAAATCTATGAATCTCTTTAATAATCTTACACAATACCTTTTGTGATTAGTTATCAATTTCTGCCTTGTCCCAATATATAATTTTTGTGAAATGTTACTAATATGACCATGGGCAGCTTAGACGTAAGCTATTCTAAATACTAGTATTACTTAATGTTTTTCATTTATAATAAAATGTTATAAAAATATTTGAGTATATGGATATAATATCAAATACACAGATTTAAGAGATCTATTTGTGGCTGGGCACAGTGGCTCACGCCTGTAATCCCAGCACTTTGGGAGGCCGAGACGGGCGTATCACGAGGTCAGGAGATCGAGACCATCCTGGCTAACACAGTGAAACCCCGCCTCTACTAAAAATACAAAAAATTAACCAGGCATGGTGGCGGGCACCTGTAGTCCCAGCTACTCAGGAGGCTGAGGCAGGACAATGGCATGAACCCGGGAGGCAGAGCTTGCAGTGAGCTGAGATCTCGCCACTGCACTCCAGCCTGGGGGACAGAGGAAGACTCTGTCTCAAAAAAAAAAAAAAAAAAAAAAAAAAAAAAAAAGATCTGTTTGTGATGATGAAGAATCTGCTTATTTCTCAGTTATCTATTTTTATTTACTGCACTTAAAATTTGCCCAACTCTTGACTAGATATTTAGGAAAACATTAACAAACTAAGAAACATTCTGAAATAGGAAACCAGAGAAACGCAGTATTTTGTGATTATGCCATATGAGAAATGGTTGAAGAAGTATGGAGTAATCCTACCAACTCTTCCCAAAAAGCAAAAATAGGATCAATGGATAGAATTTAAAAGGAGACACTTTTTCATATAACATGTAAACATTGAAGTTATATCTCTTCACTAATACCTTAAAAAGCTGTAAATTACCCAATACTAACAATGTTCAAGAACAAGATAAATGACTATTTATTAGAAATGGCACAGGATTAACTCACTGACTAAAGATTGCATTAGGTGACCTCCAGAATACTTCAAAATCCTAAGATGGAATCACTTGTATTATATATAGATATATTCTTACGAATTTTTGGGAGCTCCATTAATGTGCGCTATGCTGAAAAACAAGATTTAGACAAGTATTAATAGGCTATTAAATCATGCCCAAAGGTGTCTTCAAACCACAGGTCTTTCAGGCTTACATTTAATTAAAAATTAAAGGCCATTTTTGGCTATTGAACCTGCTCTTCCATCAGGAAAAACTGAGTAAAAAGTAAAATTATTCACTTCTCTTGTTAAATGTTCAGCATCAGTTAAACTTTTTCATACCACTAACTACTTCCTCCCAAAGTTCTAATTCTAGATACCCATTTTATTTGCATAATACTTTTTGCTTTGAGAACCATTTATGGTAATATTTTTACATTTAGAAAAGCTCAAAGGCCATTATAATTTTAAATGGATTTATAATCTATACATAGAAACACAGTTTTTTTTTTCCTGTCATCTTGTTAAGGTGATATTCAAAAGAGCAAATCTTTATTATGAATGGAGGAATTTGTATTTTTTTGTAGTTTTTATTACAAACCTGACTTCCCAAAATGTGTTCATACCAATGATGTATACTTCGTAGTTAATGTAATATGCTCGTCTGAACTATTACCGATGTTTTATTTGCAAGAGATTATGAAAATGTCAGTAATAATATTTTTAAGAGAATAGCATCAAAAGGGAGCACTCTGAATCTAACAGTTCCAAGAGGATTGTATTGGAAATGTTGTAATTCAATTGTAAATTGCATGTATTAATCTTCTGGGAGCTCAACTGTTGATGGATTGAGGAATAACCAGAGAAAAAAGAATAAAAAATGAATGTAATTCAAAAAGAAAATTATTAGTTCCACAACGATAGGCAGAATTCACAATCTGAGTTTGAGTACAGAAATATCTTTTGTGAAGGGATGTTGAAGGATGCCAGGTGTAGCAAAAATTTGGTCCTATAAACCTTAAAAGGCATCACTAAGATAGCTCTAGTTGAATGAACTATGATTTGACATTCAAGAGGCAATCTACCAAGTAATAACCATGTGAATTTTGCTGAGACAATAACTTCACATGCTTGTGTTCCACTCCCACTCCAACATAGAAGAATTTGGTAACTGTTACCAGCAAGTAGAACAAAAGCTTGGCATTTGCCAAGTAGTTAATTTTTAAAATCATAGAAAGTCCTCATATGGTAGCGAACCAGATTTTAAAAAGAAGAAAAAATGTTAATGAAAATATTCTAAATAAATAAGAAACAGATAATATACTATGCAAGTATTTTTTTAATTACCTTAGTACGCTCTATACATGGTCTAAAATAAGGTTACATATTAGCATTGGAACAAAACATAGTTTCTATGCTCTCTGGCTTAAATTAATTTATGAACAACTTGGAGCAATAGTTAGCAATATTAGGTTTTATAAAATCAGAAAAATTAATTGAATTAATTAAAATTTTGAGTATATAATTAGGAACATAAGACATGTCCCTTCCTTTCAGAAAATGCATAATTTTTCTGAAAAGATAAAGCATATGGGGCCAAAATAAACACTGTTCAGCTAGAAGCAATCTAGGCAACATCTGTAATTAAAGGAGGAAAAAAAGCTGATATTACATTATATAATTTAGCTTAGAAATGAGTCATAATTGCTGTAAGATAAAGTTATTTTTTTGTAATCAAATAGATGCTTTTGGTTATCCCTACGTCTTCATTACTTTTAGAGTTATCTTTAGTCTTTTAGTTAAGATATAACTTTAGTCTTCTAGTTAAGTGATATCTTTAGGTTTTTTATTGCTAATAAATACACAAGGAAGAGAATTACTTTCACATAAAGCAAAGAATAAAACTTTAACTACATACCAAATTCTTTTTGTTTTCAGACAATGACAGTGTATTAGAAATGTAGTTAACGGTTATTCCTGTGAGTGCCAAATGTTTTCTTTTTCAGTGTGGTGAAATTTAGGTTGTTCAAGTACTTTACATACATATCACCAACATAGTTTGACCAGTAGAGGGAGCCATTATCTACATAGTCTAACTTTGAAAATAAAGTATTTTATGATCATGAAAGAAACTATGACAGAAACTTACAGTCAATATATCAATTCCTTTTCTAAATTTAAAATAAACAAACCACCTATATGTGTTTAATGTGTTTTTAGGTTTCAAAACAAATTAAAAATCAAGCTCACTGTAACTTCTTTGGAGGCAATAATGAAACAAATACCTTTTATAATGTGTATATAATTTTTAACCTTTCCTCAAATGTGTTAAATGTCAATAATAGTAAAGTAAGTATATACACAGCTATTATACCAGTATATGCTTCCCTTCACATTATTATTATAGCTGTTTAGCTTCATTGTTTACCAAACCACGTAAGTTCAAACTACCTAACATTAGGTGGCAGATTTATCTATATATCTTCCATATTCTCATTTTGTAGTTAAATGAAAGGCTATGTGTATCTTCTAAAAAAATTGACTTTCTCATTGGATTAAAAAAAGATAGATTTGTATATACTATAAGAGTATAGTAAGAATTCTGTTTTGATAGAGTAGAATTTATTTAATAAACAATTGTTATAAAAAATTATTAAGAAATCTGTTTGCCCATATGTTGACATTTAATAACATCAGTATATTTACAGTTTGTATATTTATTAAAAAGATACTTAAAAAGAATTATACACAAAGACTCATAAAATTATTCACATATTTTTGTGAGTATGTGAATAGCACAGCTTGACACACTTACCCTTCATATTTCTAAACATGACTTAAAATAAGTTTGTGATTAAAAATCTCCACACTCATATTCCAAATGCTCAATTTGCTTCCCATAAATATATATGAATTAACACCTGTATTAATCAAAGAAAAATATTCTGTGACTATTTACCTTTAAATAGTATTTCACCAGAGATTGTAAATGACTCACTTTTTTCACAGTTCTCACTATCCTTACTATTTAACACAGTTCTTACTATCACAGTTGTGAGAGCTTGTTTGTATCAACCTTCATAGTCGACATTAGTAGTTCAGCAAATATTTATTAACACCGACATACACCAAGCACTGAGCTACTAGAGATACAGTTGAGATAACACCTGCCAAAACAAGCTCCCACAACTTCATCTTTAACACAGCTTAGATAGTAAGAAATTAGCTAAACTAGTGTTCCTTGGTAAGGGAGGTGTCCATATCCTTGCCACTCAAAGTGTGTTCCACTAAGCAGCAGCACTGGCCTCTCCTGGGAGCTTGTTAACAATTCTAGAGTCTCAGGCCCTATGCCAGAGCTACTGAACCTAAATCTGCATTTTAATAAGATCCCCCAGGTCCCGGTACTTCAAAAACACATTACATTTTGGAAAGCACAGGAAAGCACACACCACCTCTTTGCAAAGATTTCCCCATGACACAGGCTACCTCTAAACTTCTAGTTTCTCTAGGAATAATAAATATTTGTAACTTTGAAATTGGGTAGTTTTCAAAAACTACAAGAAAGTTTTCTAGATCTTAGTTGTTCTGTCAGTCCCAAGGAATTCTACTATAAATCACGACTTGAGGGTGGGACCTGTTATGTAGTTTTATGTGCTAGATTTAATTTTAAAACCACCGAGTTCATGTCCTTTGCAGGGACATGAGTGAAGCTGGAAACCATCATTCTCAGCAAACTAACACAGGAACAGAAAACCAAACACCGCATGCTCTCACTCATAAGTGGGAGTTGAACAATGAGAACGCATGGATACAGGGAGGGGAACATCACACACTGGGGCCTGCTGGGGAGGTGGGGGGCAAGGGCAGGGAGAGCATTAGGACAAATACCTAATGCATGTGGGGATCAAAACCTAGCTGATGGGTTGATGGGTGTAGCAAACCACCTTGGCACATGTACACCTATGTAACAAACCTGTATGTTCTGCACATGTATCCCAGAACTCAAAGTATAATTAAAAAAAAAAAAAAAACCGAGCAGCTATGTATTCGTTATTTTATCTTTTTCAATGGAAAAAAAATTAGATGCAGAAGTGCATCTAAGACTACTATCCACATATTTCTTTTCATGCTTTCCCCGTCATGTATCTCCAAAACTTTTCAATGTAAGCAATCACTGTAACATAAGCAGTGTTTACAATAGTGATGCAATACAAAGTTAAACTATACTGGTAGTGATAAGAAACTTCACGTCACCCAGTATATAAACTTTGAGATAACAAAGATGAGAATGAGTTAAATGTCACTGGCTGCTCCTTATGAACAGAGGAGGCAATTCAGCCTGTGGAATACTGTGATTACTTGTTATCCACAAACCTGCACTCATAGCTCTGCTGACAGCGTAATCATCCTCATATTCAGCAATTTTTGGTGCTGTTTATACTTGGCCAAATTATATCTTCAATGTCCTGAGCAATCTCACCTTTATTATTACATGAAATGGACGGACATAAGAGCAACGGAAGCTTATCCCCCTGCACGGAGCTGCCTTTTTGTCACTTACAATGTGAGAGATAACCTCAAACAATCCACATCCCTCCTAAAGCATCATATCTTATATGGAATAGAGTAGAGGGGAGATAGTAGAATAAATGTAGTTGTCTGTGTGTGTGTGTGTGTGTGTGCACGAACACAACTAATGTTCTCTGTTTCCCTGTCTTTTCATCATTATCCCAATCTCAGTGAATCAGTGTCATGTCATTGAAGAGATGGAAGAAATCTGCTGCTTTATGACAGATGCAGAAACAAATTCAATGAAGTGAGGCTAGGAAACTTGCTTACAGTTTAAGCTTAGTTTGCTACAGGACTCATTCAAAATAAAGGTTCATCAAGTGCCCCTTTCTTCCACACTCACCTCCAAGACTTCTGATATAGTTTGGCTGTGTGTCCCTGCCCAAATCTCATATTGAAATGTAATCCCCAATGTTGGCCTGGTGGGAGGTGTTTGGATCATGGAGGTGTGTTTCTCATGAATGGTTTAACACCATCCTACTTGGTACTGTCCTTGCGATAGTAAGTTTGTTCCCATAAGATCTGGTGATCTAAAATTGTGTAGCACCTCTCTGCTTGCTCTGTTGCTCCTGCTCTGGCCATGTGATGTGCCTGCTCCTCTTGCCTTCCATCATGAAGCCAAGCAGATGCCAGTATCTTGCTTCCTGTAAAGCCTGCAGAACCATGAGCCACTTAAACCTCTTTTCTTTATAAATTACCCAGTTTCCAGTATTTCTTTATAGCAATGCGAGAGCGGACTAACACAACTACATTTTTTAAATATGTAGATTTTATTTTTCCTTCAAGGCAGCCCTTTTAAACTGTCTTTGACATTGGGAGGATGGGGAAAATGCTCCACACATTAGGCACTGTGGGCATGTAAGACTAATTTGATTGAGTAAGTAGTTATTAAGCATCTATGCTGTTTACTGGTAAGATACATAGATGAGAAAGCTCTTCACCGCTCCTCACAGAGCTGACATGTATGCTCAGGCTAAGGGTTGTGAGCAGGCTGCACAAACCGACCAATTCTCTCTGGTAGGAGGTTACAGTAGCCTGTCATCAAACCCTAGTGGGAGAATGTACCTCTTTCTCCGTTATCCTTCACACTTATACCTACAGCACTGCACACACCCCTAGGAATTACACATTATCTGGGAACATAAATAGGTTTACCTGACTTAAATGTGGTTCCTTGGAAAATAACAGATCAAGGTCCTGTGCTGACATGAAAATTTGCTTGAATTTGAGAGGAACAGATGAGGGAGCCATTTAAATTTTGAGCACAGTATTGTGTTGTTTAAATTCCATCATTAATCAGCTGTTTTTATCAAACATGACCGTAAGTTTATACACTCTATTTTGCCAGGCATTGTGTTTTGCAAAAATTAAAAAAAAATGACCTCAGCAATTTAAGATGTATGTATTATTTGGAAAAACTTGTTATAAAACTGCAAATTAAAAATCTAATTTTTGGATCTTTGATCTCATTTATTTTTCCCTGTTGATAAAATGATCAGTAGCGTGCATCAGCTTCCCACTCAAACCTACACGTGAATCCTACTGTTTTTGAAAGAACATAAAATTATAATTCGGATCAAGAAAAATCGTAATCCTCTTATTATATCATTTTCTTCTTTCAACAAAATCAAATAGAAAGAGGATGGGAAGAAGATTGGCATTATTAGGGATTTTTATCTCTTAAAGTGCTTTAGCACATGCTGAAGAGATTCCAGTATCTTTAACTAAAATTCCATTGTTTTAAATCATTCAGATGTTCACATGGAGAATAAAGCACAGATCGTTTTAACACTTAGAGCAAAGGATGAGTATTTGGCTATACAGGTGAAAGAAAAGACAATTAATAAAGAAAAAAATGACAGAAAAGGGGTTGCTGATGCACTGAACAAAATATATTTTAAATATCAGCAGTGCACATGTACATAGCAATAGTATAGAATTTCATTTTTGATGCCACCATTATTGCTGAAGAAGTCCATTCTCACTTGAAATACTGCTTCAGCCCACTGACTGGCCATCCTCCCACAAGACTCTCCCTAGTTAAACCCATCTGATGAATTGCCACAAAATGTTCTCCCTAAGAACATAATCTGCTATGTAACTCCTGGTTTTAAAATGCTGCTTCTCTGTTGCTTGTCTTTGGAATTAAATCCCACTTTAACCTAGGCTTCCACATCATTGTCATTTGCAACTTTGCTGCAGCTTCTGTTTCAAGCTCCATCTCTCCCTTCCCATTTCCCCAAGACCTGCTGCTCTCTGAAAGGTATAACAGGGGCTCCCAATATTTTAGGTTTCCCAAATGAGCTGGGCATCATTTAAACCCGTGGATGCTTTACTCTGTACCTGGAATGCTCTTTCTCCCCTTTCTCACATAGCAAACTCCTCCTAGTTTTCTGTGCAAACCTCACTTGGAAGCAAACGAGTGAGAAAGGTAACACAGCCTCAACTCTTCAAGTCAAACTTAACTTTATGTTGTATAATTTGCAACATCTGTTCATATATCTGGAATAGTGACTATAAAGTGGTATTATAATAATCTGTCAGTTTTTTATTCTATTTATTACACCAAATTGGAGGCAGGCCATGGCTTACATACTTTTCCATTTCTAATTTTCATTACTGAATACAGTATTAGGCATCTGGTTGTTTCTCCATTAGTAATTGCTCAGGGGAAAGTGAATGAATGACTCTAATCTGATTGGAAAAGCACATTCATAAAATTAAGCAGTTCACTCTTTTCCAATGTATTAGCATAAAATTTTGTCACTCAATTTATACTTCAAATTTTATTTAAAGGCACTACAATTGGCGTTTATTGGCTGTTTCTCATGTATGGTATTTATTCTTCCTTTTGACTGAGAATAGTGTTATTAAAATGCCTTCTTTCCATTTAGATCCCTACTAGAGTATTAGTGGGATTTTTTCTGCTATTGAAAAATAAATAAAAGTCACATTTAGCTCTTAGATCTCTATATAACTTTCTACAGTATTTTGCACAATTATGATTAGTAGGACACTATTGGAACCATAAAATATCCTGTTGTAGCTTTCAAAACTGGTATACTTGAAGTATGTTATAAAGTTATCATCTTGCACCAAGTACTTCAGAAATTACAAATTAAATTAATTGAGATTATATGGTTTTAACCTCCTTCTTCTGTGTGCTGTTATGGTTAATATATGATCTCAATGTACTTTGTGATGGCCTGTTGATTCAGCCTTGTAATAACAGGGAGTATTAAACCTGTGGTTCATTAAAGATGAATATAGATTTCAGAAAACCAGGTAATCTATGTTGTTTTTGTTCTCTGGAAACTATGATTCACCTATGTGACATAAACCCAGGTTAAAATTGCTTAGAAATTATCTGCACAAAACCACTCTATACCTTATAGGATATTACGGCTACAAGTAATCTGTAGCCAGAGAGCTACCACAGTGGGATACAGTTTCTATAGTATACTACAGTGGAATACTGTATCCCACTCTAGTAGTTCTCTGGCTAACACCACTCCCTTCAGATGTTTTTGGACAGATGTGACCCCACTTCCACTGGTATAGTACAATGTTCAGTAGTAACGTTGAAAGGAGACATTCCTTTTTTCTTCTCAATGTTGAGGTGGGAGGAGTGTTTAATACTTCACCATTAGCTATGATGAGCCTTGTAGATTTTTGTAGCTGCCCTCTTGTAGATAAGGAAGTTCTATTTATTTTTTTTAGTTTGCTTATAGCTTTTGTCATGAATTGGTGTTGCATTTTGTCAAATGGTGTTTTCTATGTCTATTTACATCATCATATGATTTTTCTTAAAATGGTAGCAGATTATATTGATTTTTTGTTAAGCCATTTTACAATTCAGAGATAAAACGAACCATTATATTGTATTATCCTTTTTTATGAATTGCTGGATTGGATTTGCTAATATTCTGTTATGTTCATGAGGAACATTGGTCTGCAGTTTTATTTTATTATAATATATTTGTCTGGTTTTCTATCAGGCTTACGTTTACTTCACAAAAACAAGTTAGGAAATGCTCCTTCCTCCCCTAGTTTCTGAAGAGTTTTGTTTGATATTGATATTATGTCTTTCTTAAACAATTTACAGAATTCACCACTGAAACTATTTGTGTCAGGAATTTCTTTGTGGGATTTCTTTTTAATTACAAAAATATGAAATAGATAGAGATCTACTAAAATTTTCTATTTCTTGTTTTGAATTGGGGAAGCTGTGATCTTCAAAAAATATGCACGTTTCACCTCAGTTGTCAATTTAATTGGCATAATGTTATGATCCTTTAAATGTCAGCAGCATCTGTAAAGATGTCCCCTCTTTCATCATGATATTGGTGACTTGCACCTTTTTCTCTCTTTATTTTAATACTCAGTCTTCGTATGGATTTAACAATTTTGTTAACCATATCAAAGACTTTAGTTTTTTTGTAAGTCAAGTTGTGAGGAACAAAATTTACTAACCTTTGACTGTCAATTTTAGCTACTGTTTATTTTCTATTTCATTCATTTCTGCTATTATTTTTATTATTCTATTTTTCTTTTAATTTTAACTTGCTTTTCTTTGTATATCTTCTTAAAGTGGCAGCTTATCATTTATTTTGCATCTTTCACTTTTTCTAATATAAGCATTTAAAATATGTATTTTCTTTGAAACATTCTGTGGCACCCTGTTAATTTAGAAATACTGTGTTTTTATAATCATTCATTTAGAAATATTTTTAAAACACTTACTGGGATTTCTTCTATAAATATATGATTTATTGGAAAATTAATTGTTTAACTTCTAATACTTGAAGATTTTTCAGATATCTTTTTGCCACTTATTTACAGTTTGATAGCATTATGGTCAAAGAGTATAATCTATATGATTTGACTCTTTTAAACTTATTGAGACTTGATTTATTGTTCATTCTTGGTGAATTTTCCATTTATAATTAAGAAGAATATGCTTCTTGCTGTTTGGGAATATAATATTCTATAAATATCAATTAATGTTGCTCCAATTTCTATACTTTTCTTTTTCTACTTGTTTTACCAATTACTGCAGAAAAAGATGTAAAAAGTCTCAAGCTAGGTCTTGTATTTCTTTTTGTACTTTTAGGTATGTCCATTTTGGGTATACATGTTGCGAACTTTGTTGTTACGGGAACACACGTCTAAGATTATTTTTTTCTTGAGTTATTCATCTTTGTGTAATATTAAATTTTCTTGTCCAACTTGATTTCTATCTGTTATCAATTTGTTTCAGCCTAGAACTAACTTTTAATATTTCTTATATTATAGGATTGCTGTAGACAAATGCTTCTAGATTTTGTCATTCTGAAAATGTCTGCTTCACATTCATTTTTAAGGAATACTTTCTTGGATATAGAATTCAGAATTAGCAATTTTTTCTTTTCTTTCAGCACATAAAAATGTACATTCTTTATGCTTGTCCTCCATTATTTCTTATGTCAATTCAGCCATTATTTTTATCATTGTTCCCTGAACATAAGACATCTCTTTCCTTTGGCTGCTTTCAAGATTTTCTTTTTATCATTAGCTTTCAGAAGGTTGACTACAATTTACCAAGGTGATGTCTGTTTCGTATTTATCCTGCTTGTGAATTATTTAATTCATTTGACTTCTGGATTATGTCTTTCATTAATTTTGTTTCACTCCTGGATATTATCTCTTCAAATGTTTCTCCTGTACCCCTCTTTCTCACTTCTTTTTCTGCAACTCCAGCTATATACTTGTTTTGCTACTGGCTCACAGATTTCAAATGCTCTGGTTCATTTTTAAATTATTTTTTATTTTCTCTTTTGTTTCAGTTTAACTAATTTCTATTGACTTATCTTCAGGTATATTTATTGCTTATTCTGCTGTCTTCAGTCTGCTAATAAGCATCTTGAAAAAGCTTATTATTTGATATCATTGTTTTTACATCTAGCGTTGTTTATTGCTCATTTATATAATTTTTATCTGCCTGATAAAATTCCAATCTGTTTATATGTTTTATTATTTTATTTTACTACTTGATGAATTTTAAAGGCTTGTCTGATAATTTTATTATTTGGGTCATCTCTGAGTTTGGATATATTCTTTCCCCTCTTGAGACTAGGTCACATTTTCTGGCATCTTTCAGTGACTTGTATATTTTGATTGGCTGCAGAACACCATCTTATAAAAGGCTAGTAGAGAGTGAAGTAAATGATATTTATGCCTGGAAAAGGCATGCTTCTTCTACCGTCAGGCTATAATTATGGGACATGGAATCAATCAAATCTGTAAAGCTGGATCTTGACCTGTGTTTCATTTGGTTAGATTCGAAAGACTGTCAGCTTTAAATTATTGATGGGCATAGGGGTTAAGTGCCTGGAGCAGTTATGGTGCCTCAAAGAGGATGCTTTTCTTAAAACTCTCTGCCTCTCCCCTGGTTATAGAGTTATACCTAGTACTTTGTGTAAAGTCTGAGTCATCCTTAGAGTTTCCTTTGCTCTTCTGGTCCAGCCCTCCGACTTTCACATGTCTCACGTGCCTAGGCTTCAGCAGAGGACGCTTTCAGCTCTCCTGCCTGCAATCTCTCTCATGATCTCTAGGTGAAAGCCCATAGAAAAGAATTGACAAGTACGTGCAGATTCCCCTTGAGTCTGAGACTTAGGGATGTTAAATTATCTTAAAAACTCATACTTGGTCTTTTAAAACTGTGTTATATGTTTAGTTGTCTTTGTCTTATCTATGTCTATTCTTTCTCCTACTGCTACTCCGCCAAGGGTGAAAGAAACTTTGTGTCTTTTCTTCTCTAGAAGGGATTTATCACGTTTTTAAAATTTTGGTTTATTATATTTTTTGAATTATAAGCTCCCTGAGGACTTTAAATAATTATATTATAGGTTATCTAGCTGGTTCTCGTGGTTAGGTAGGAACAATGTTCTTTTGTCCCTTTCATCAACCTAGAAAGAAGCAGATGTCTCCTGGATTGCTTTTAATTCCCCACCATAAACAAATTTAGTCCTATCTGGTCACACACAGGTTGCATAAACATAATATTGAATTTCAATGGGAAGAAACTTCTAATGTAGTTTAGCATGAAAGCCTGTTAAAATTGAACAAGAATAAGAAAATAAAGCTGGGTTTATTTATGTATGTAACCAATGCAACTGAAAGATAATAAGTCTAAAAATCTGTCAAAGTTTGGGACCTCAAGATTTGTATTTAATCGAGCAAATATACCTAATGGGCGCCTGTGGGATTTTGGTGTAAACGTAAATTGCTTTCAAGACTCTCGGTCCAGATCTAGACATTTTTTCCCCAGTGGAAAAACGAGAAACAGCATCTTCCAGCAAGTCAGTCATCCATGGTCAGCCTGAGTTTAGGTCAAAGCCATCACTTTTATTATTTCTGTGACAAAAGGAACAAGGCCTATGGAGACTTTTCAATAAAAGAAATCCATCTTAGTCCATTTTCTGTTGCATATAGCAGATAACTACAACTGGGTGATATAAAAAAAAGGAATTTATTTCTTACAGTTTGGGAGGCTGGAAAGTCCAAGGGAGAGGGACCACATCTGGTGAGAGCTTTCTTGCTGGTGAGAACTCTACAGAAACTTGAAGCAACACAAGACATCAAATGGAAAGGGAGCTGAGCATGCTCACTCAGGTCCCTCTTCCTCAGTTTACAAAGCCACCATTCTCACTCCCAAGAGAACCCATTCACCCATGAATAACTTAAATCCATTAATGAAAGCAGAGCCCTCATGCTGCAATGACCTCTTAAACACCACACCTCTCCATACTGCCACATGGCGGATTAAGGTTTTTTGTTTGTTTGTTTGAGACGGAGTCTCGCTCTGTCGCCCAGGCTGGAGTGCAGTGGCGCGATCTTGGCTCACTGCAAGCTCCACCTCCCGGGTTCTCGCCATTCTTCTGCCTCAGCCTCCCAAGTAGCTGGGACTACAGGTGCCCGCCACCACATCTGGCTAATTTTTTTGTATTTTTTTTTTTTTTTTTAGAGACAGGGTTTCACCGTGTTAGCCAGGATGGTCTCGATCTCCTGACTTCGTGATCTGCCCACCTCGGCCTCCCAAAGTGCTGGGATTACAGGCGGGAGCCACCATGCCCGGCCCGGATTAAGTTTTAACATGAATTTTCGAGAAGACATTCAAACCGTAGTGCTATCTTTCTCTAGAAATCCAGGACTGGGGTTTGGATAAAGGCAGAAGAAAATATATCTATGCTATGTTTCCTATTCTAATGATTTCATATCAGATATGTTCTTCTGTTTTAGCAGCTTATATATCATGAGTACTATATTTAATCAGCCTTACAAAAGATAAGAAGGAAATTGAAATCTCCTTCAACTTTAAGATATATGAGGTTTGCTCAGTAATTCAGAACCAGCCTGGGGAAATTATAGACTATTATCTATAAGAAATAGTGTGCGTAGGTTGAGCACAGTGGCTCACACCTGTATTCCCAACACTTTGGGAGGCCGAGGCAGGAGGATCACAAGGTCAAGAGATCGAAACCATCCTGGCCAACGTGGTGAAATCCCGTCTCTATTAAAAATACAAAAATTAGCCGGGCGTGGTGGCGGGTGCCTGTAGTCCCAGCTACTTGGCAGGATGAGGCAGGAGAATCGCTTGAACCTGGGAGGCAGAGGTTGCAGTGAGCTGAGATCCTGTCACTGATCTCCAGCCTGGGTGACAGAGCGAGGCTCTGTCTCAAAAAAAAGAAAAAGAAAAAAAGAAAAAAAAAAGAAAAGAAAAAAGAAAGAAATATTGTGCATACGTAAATAGCATTTGTCTGTTATTCTCACCCCTCCTCAACACACACACACTCACTTATATATCTTTTGAACCTCCACATTTAGAGACTAGAAATCATTGATTTCTGAATTTAAAACGATGTATTTATAGACATAACATTTTATCCCCTTTAAATTATCTCTCAAAAATAACTTCAATCAAAATCTTTGATTCAGTGGCCCCATTAGGAAACATTCTGTTTTTTTCTTTAGTGAAAATGTAAGGATAAAACCCACGGAGAATACACGGATTCCTATCAACTTGTTTTTTCCTTCTTTGGTGCTTCAATGTTCAACAAATAAAGTAGTGTCGAAATATTTTAATTTAAAATAAAATCATGAAAGGTCTTCTATTAGTTTGCAAAACAGATTTGTTGCTTTCCAAGTAGTCTATTTTGTCATATTATTTTAAAAGATACTGCAGTGTCCTTGAAACCACATTACAATTCTGTAGCCAGAAGCGTGTTTTCCTGCTGCGATGCCTATTTGCTAAGATGCCTTAGAAACCAGAGGAGTGGGGTAAGTGTCTTCATTAGTAGTATTTTTTTTTTGGAATAAATTATTTTTAAAATTTTTAAAAATTTTAAAAATTGTTAAAACAATTTCTTATGACAGAACAGCCATTACAGTGATTATTTTCAAGTGGAATAATTGTAGCAAAATGTACTGTGTTTTTTATTAGATGTAGTTTATAATAACATACACAAGTTTTTGCTCTATCCTTTGTTATCTGTTTTGTTATTACATTGATTTATATAATTTTACTACATTTTCTATACTCATATAACTAGGTAGATGAAAATCAACTCAAAGCCACAAGCTGGGGAAATTCTGTACAAAGCAGTCATTTAAATGTGTTGGTATTAAGACTGATGATTGTACATATTGTTATTGTTTTTAATGTCACCCTTACAGAATCTTAAGGGACAAGATAAATTTTTTAAAGTGCTTAGAGTTAGAGTTGGGGCTATCTGTATATGTTCGCTTTTGTCTTATCAGAGAGTTAGTTGTGTGTTCTAAGGGTAGTCTGGCTTACAAGTAGAGTTTGGGTACTGAGAAGCAATAGAAGTAGCCAACTGTTTACCGGTTGCCTCAAGTAGTGTTGAAATGATTAGTATATTACTAGTTGAAAGTATCTTTATTAATAAAGAACTAATCAAAACCTCTTCCAACAATCATGGCATAAGTTTGGTCATATTTCTTTGTCTACACTCTCCCTGCTTAGTAACGTTAGACAAAGGATTGAGTTTTGGCTCATTGAATTTAACTGGTTAATCTCTATTGTACTGACTTAAAATAGTTTATGCTGCTTGAATAATTGCTCCACGTATTTGAAATTATATTAACTATAAAGAAAATAAGACTTCAAGAATATGGTAATCACTTTTTTCAAGCCTAAGTATATGTATCTCAGGAAGATTTTTGTACCTACAAAAATATAAAAATCATTCTCATTTTTTACCAGGATAATCCTGGAAGTTGTCATTAGAGAAAATTATTGTCTACAGTATATATTTATCACACAGATGTTCATTTAAAACGGTAGGCTTTTTTGGCTATATTTATATCAATTTATATTATTTAGTACCTAGACCAATATTACATATATATACAGACACAAATGTACACATTTATAAGTAAAAATATGTACACATTTATAAGTAAAAATAAACTAATAAAATGATTTATTATACAATATAATTTATGTAAATCCACATATAGAAATATGTATTAATGTTACTGTTCTAGATAATCAGACTGTATACACTTTGGAAGAATATAGTTCTATTTATAAAACAAAGAAGCAAGTTTTGAAACCTACAATAAAATAGATCTCTTGAATTACCAGGTAATGAAGAGCTGTCCTAAAAAGTGTTACTCTGCTATGAAAATCATGGATAGTAAAGCTCTCTGGAGACACTCTGCAATTTATTATTTACCTTCTGCAATGAAGAATTTATTTTCATGTAGATCAGCATTTATTTTTGTGGAAGGAGAAATACATAGATGCATGAAGATAATATAAATTTAACCAAGAAGAAAGTTTTATAATCAGGGTTAGCAGGAGTAGAAAACCAGCTGGGATGTTGAAGCCATCCAGTTTTGAAGCCTAGCTGCAGAAGCAATAAGGAATGTCTGCTACTCAAAAGCAACAATTTGATTGCCATTTTAGTCCAATCACATTAAGATTAGAGTCAAGAGTATACTCTATTCTCTTATCTTTGCATTTTCCCTGGGTCAAATGGACAACACAGATTCACGGCAATAACCTCCTGGCCGATTTTGGCCTAGAGACTTTCCAGTTCATTACCTTCCTTAGTATTTTCACCCTGGGAAAACCAATTTCAATTCTATTAAAGAAATTCTTGTTATTATGCTTCTTTGTCTCTCTGTTTCATTTTTTTAATTTAAAAATTTTTCTTCTGTCTTCTGTGAACGTGTTTCAAAAGACAACATTACTTTTTATATTCTGCTGCTTTGAAGTAGGTGGTTTTTATGCTGTTACAGTAAACATTAAATTACTATAATGTAAAATTTCTGAAACATGTGGTGATATTTATGGTGAAATGTTATTAACACCTAAAGCATTTTGATTAGTTATTTCCATTCACATTTAATTGAAATATTAAGATGGTCGAGAAATATGTTTTTCTAGAACTTCAAACTTGATTATCTCACATTTATACTTTGCTCTTAAGTTATAGAAAATCAAAGTCAGAGCATTTGCACAGTAATGCCAGTCCCCACTACTTTCTACATATCCTGCATCTTTGTCAGTTATTAAATCAGTGTGCTTCATTTTCCCAGCGCAGACTTATGCTACTGCTGAAGTGATGTGAACAGTTGAAGCAACTGCTTGAATTTTGCCTGAATTTCTCAAATAATCTAAGCAGAAATAGAAAGTTTGCTTGAAGCACTATTGTTATCCTTCTCTTCACAAGTTGAGTCATCCCCAAGTCTTCAATCAAATGTTCTCTCTGTTAAACGGTTCCACTCTCTTAACCACTATTTCTCAAAATGTTTAGACCTCATACATTTTCTTATTTTATTCTTGGAAACACTCTTCAAAAATATAGGCTTCACTTTAGATAAAGAATATATATATATCAGAAATGTACTCTGACACACATGAATTTATTGCAAATAAAATAATTTATTAAACATTTCTATAGAAAAATTTCCAACCCTTTATACTAACCCAATTACATTTTCTCTACTATATAAGTCATTATGAAAATAGGCATACTATACATGGCTATAAACTATTATGAATTTCTAAAGAAACATTAGAATGTACACACCTAAATATGTTAGTACCTTCAAAGTAGTCACTTTTAAGTATTGTGTTTTTATACAAAAGTGGCTACAACTTTGCAGAAAAATTATTTTGAATATTTTTGGAGAATCAACTTGAATGTCTGTTATAGATTCATTCAAAATCTATAATTCTTTTTCTATAAAAGGTGTACTTAGTCATCAACAACCCTATGTCCCATAATCAATCTTATCAGGGATTTTTTTAATGTTAAAATTAGAAATTTGAGCCTGGTTATCTGGAAGCTCCTTGTGTTATCCATCCAAATTATGATCTCCTTACACTCTTCAAAGTGACCAATATCCTGATTTTTATTTTCAGAAATTACTTTGCCTTTTTACGATTATCATTCAAGTGACCATCCTTAGATTAATGTTTAGTAATTTTAAATTTAGCAAATAATTTAGTAATTAAATTTAAAATAGTAAATTAAAATTTTTTGACATTTATTTCAAGACTCTCTTAAAGTCATTTTTATCCCTTTATTAAAATTGTTTTTCATTAATTATTAAGTCATTTAACATATAAAACTTTTCATAGCCTAGAAGTTGCAGATTGCATGCTTCTTGTGTAGTGCAAAATGCTACATTGTTCTCCCTATTTCCTACAGACTGGGAGCTGGATCCAGACACTTCATCAGAATCAAGTTTGATACCTTTGACAAGACCATGGGTGGTGATGTGCATACAGTGTGATACCGTGTATGTGTGTGTGTGCATGTGTGAGTATTTCAGGAGGCATATCTCTCCAGTTTGGGTTCTTTTTGGTGTTAGCATCTGTTGCTGTCTGGTGCCTAAAAGCTTTATTCTATTGGGGGTTGTAAAATGATGATATTCTATTATTTTCATTTACTAACTGTACTAATTTTATTTTAAAAAACATATTTTAAAAAATCTATTATTTAGTCACAGAGTAGTAAGAAAGGCAGGTTGAATGCTTCAGTGCTTTTATTTATCAGGAGGTCTTGCGAATTATAACAACTTCTTGCTTCTTTGAACCCAGGGAAAATAAGCTGGCCTAGCCTCTTACAGGATAAGAAATCACCTGGAGAGAGGGAGCCAGGTGGCTTCCAACATGCAAATGAGGTTATCTTGAATCACAAAACCTCTTTCTCCCCCTGGCTACCAGCTGGCTTCCACTGTAGGAGTTATCCCAGAAAAGACCAGCAGCAAGAAACCACCCAACAAATGGCAGGGAAACTGTACATACTGTTTTTATACATACATCGGTATATATATATATATATATATATATATATATACACACACACACACACACACACATATGTATATATAGGCACACACATGTATACCCACAACATATATCTATATATGTATAAAATATAAACACATATATGTATGTATTAATGAAAGAGAACTTTTGTTTGAGAATCGAATTTGGAGCTAAAAATTAGAATTCTAAAATTCTAAACAAATGCTAATTTAGATAGTCTAGATTGTTTGAATTATAATCCAAAATAAATGGAACTTCAGTGTTCAATTCAGAGTAGACAATATTGTACCTTACCTTTTGATAGTGAGAGGTTGATGGAACAATCAGTCTTACTGATATCTCATATCTCTAAAATCTACAATAAAGTGTGCTTCACTATAAGAAATCAGGTCTTCTTTAAAGGCACACTAAGTTGCATTCCTAGAAAACAATAACTAATTTTTGTCTTTACTCAATGTTATCACAAAAAACATATATCCTCACATAGGTTTTTTAATAACTTTTAGAAATATAGAGAAAGTTTGATCAGAAGCCATACCCTATCATAGAAATAGAAAAAAAAATCTTTGTTATGGGAATTTGATTATTTATGAATTGATAACTAATAATATGATTACATTACTTCCCCAGAGTAACCTGGAGATTAAAACAAATTATCCTTACCAAAGTGAAACCAGAAACAATAAAGAAATGCTGTGTGTGAAACCTTGTAGATCAAAGGACACATCATGGGTACAAAGCAATTTCCTAGATTTTCTAGAGAATTATGCAGTGAGAAACCATTTCATGTTATTTCTTAAGATAATGTGAGAACTCTTTCAATTTTATACTCCAATGATCTTAGACCCTTTCGAAATGCACAAGTTATTTCCTGTGCAGAAGCAGCTGATATATATTTATTTGGTTTAATGATATGTGTGCAGTTGATTGTATTACATTCTTTTTATAAAGTTGATATTAAAGGGAGTAGTGAAAATTAAGGTATTCATCTTAAGTCTTTTTTTATGCCAATTGGATTATCCACAAGGAAAGTTTTTTTATGCTACCATTTAAAATAACATTTATTTTACTTATTAAAAGCTCCACACTACTTTTTATCATTTTTCATTAGAAATATTTTTAACATGAAATGTAGCAATACAATATTTAGCCTGATTTTAACAGATCAGATGTGCTAGTGTTCTCCATTCAAGGCTGGCCATTATCACATTGCCCTTTCTCAAATGGTGTTTGGAAAACATCTTTTGAAATTGTCTTCAAGATTTTTTGGAAAATGGCAGCAGTGTTGGCAGCATTTTTGGGAGGACTGTCCGTAATCTACATACAAGCAGAAGAGGGATTAGAGAGCTAAATTAAATACACATGTTCAAAATTTATAACAAAACTAGATGGCAAAGTATCCCCAAGAACTGCAAATTACAAGGTAGAGGGATTAAACTGGCAGTACATAGTAACTACGTGCTATATCCACCTGTGCAGAAGAAACCAGAAGGAAGCAATGGGATGACTGATAGAAAAGAGAACATGGGACCCCCAAATAGCTAACGGTTATGCACTAGAAGCCATCAAAGATCAATTGGCAATTAGCAGCTGAAAGAGGTGGGGGAGTTGCTCCCTCTAATAATGGGTGACTGCATGGAGTCCATGGAAAGATCTGAAGAGACTTGGGCATTTGCTACCCTGTGAGCTCTTGAAACTGACCAGCCAAGATGCTCTTCTATATGGTCATCACACAGTTTGGAGTAGAACTAAATTAAGCAGGACAGAGATGAAGGAATAAGAATAGCCGGTTGAAAGGTTGAAAGCAGGCTTGGAACTTAATGCAAATAATTTCACAAAGTAAGCTGTTATCTTTTAAAACTTAAATGAAACTTCCCTAAAGTTGGGAAAGCTATCTCATCTAAGCCCTCTTCTAACAGTTTATGAACATTAAAACCACATACATATAAGCAGCAGAAAAAAAAATGTCAAATTCCACATGAAGTTATTATAAGGTAAAAGGAATAAAGAGAATTACTTCCCTATAGAAAATAAAAGCCCACCAGGAAGTAAAGCTCAACACAAAAGAACAGATCAAAACTCTACTGTACTATTTCAATATAAGTTAAAATATATTAAGAACAATGATGCAACCTAACAGAAATCAACATACTTGAATGAGAAAACCCCAATGAAGCGGCAGACTCAAAAAAATGATTAGGAACAAAAGAAAAATGTTTTATATATGAAAACTAAGGTAGAATAGAAAAAGAATAAAAACAGATAGTGCTCTGTTAGAAATATAAGCTAAAAGGAAAATAAATTAAATATCAAAAATAGTGAGTTGGGCAAATTACTTGAGGCCAGGAGTTCAAGACCAGTCTGGCCAACATGGCAAAACCCATCTCTACTAAAAATACAAAAATTAGCCCAGCATGGTGGTGCATGCCTGAAGCCTGGGTGATAGAGCCAAACCCTGTCTTAAAAGAAAAAAGAAAGAAAAAAAAGAGACAAGAGGATTTGAGTGAAAATGACAGATACTGATGATAAGCAATAAGATCAAGAGAAACTTCCTTGAGGAACTGAAACTCAGGAACCTCATCTATACCTGGATGTCATCTAAATCAATAAATCTTTAAACTTGAGTCTGAGCTTGATGTATATGTAGTGTAAGACTTTTGGGTGATTTTACAAATAATGCAAGAATGTACATAATGTGTTAGACAGAGAATAAGTTGGTAGTCTTAAAATTTTTGTACATTCTTCCCATAAAATCAGGGAACTGTGTCCCTTTCTCTTGAATTTGGGCCAGCATATGGCTGCTATGACCACACAGTATGAGGAAATTCATAAGACCGTGTCACTTCCACCTTTTTCACTGGGAATAATGAAGCCCTCAGTTTCCATGTAAAATTTCAAACACCCTGAGACCACCAACTGTAGAGGCCTCACATAGATACTTCACCCAGGAGTTCCAGCTAAGTCTGGCCTGTCCAAGCACCAGATGTAAGTGAAAAAGCTATTCTGCAGCCCCTGACATTGCAGAGGAGAAAACAGCTGTTTCCTTTGTGCCCTTTCCAGGCTTCTTTCCCACAAAATCTGTAAACCAAATAAAATTGTTGTTTTGTGCTGTTAAGTTGTGCAGCATTTTGTTATGGGACATCAATACATAATCTAGCACATCTTCTGGAATTTAAAGAAAAGGAAAGCAAATATTTTAGATATATAGAACAAAAAGAGCATGTGACTTATGTGGAAAAGAAAATTAAATTATCATCAGACTTTCCAACAGAAATGCTTTATTTCAGAAGAAAATACAGTAAATATGTAAAGTTCTCAATTAAAATGTAAGACAAGTTATTATATTCAGTAAAACTGATCTTTAATTATGAAACTGTTATTAACACATAAAACTCAGGGAGTATCATTCACTTGCTTTTATCTTAAGATATAGTCCTTAAAACAAGTTTCAAACAGCAAGAATGACTATAGAAACATTAATATAAGGACTTGTGGTGAGCAATAAATACATAGTTACATGTAAAACTGTGGTTTAGTGAGAGTTAAATGAGAGACAGCATATTGTATGACTAGAAAATCTGATGATGTAGATATAATAAAATATTAACATATGCAATAAAAATGGAGAATGCATGTTTTTACTTAATTTATTTTTTATTATATACATTTAAGGTATGCAGCATGAAACTTTGATATACATATACATAGGGAAATGATTGCCACAGTCGAGCCATTTAATATATCTATCAGCTAACATAATTTGTGTGTGTGTGATAAGAGTGTCAGGCCTATGAGCCCAACCTAAGCCATTGTATCCCCTGTGACCTGCATGTATACATCCAGATGGCCTGAAACAAGTGAAGAATCACAAAAGAAGTGAAAATGGCCAGTTCCTGCCTTAACTGATGACATTCCACCATTGTGATTTGTTCCTGCCCCACCTTAACTGAGCAATTAACCTTGTGAAATTCCTTCTCCTGGCTCAGAACCTCCCCCACTGAGCACCTTGTGACCCCCGCCCCTGCCCATAAGAGAAAACCCCTCTTTAACTATAATTTTCCACCACCCACCCAAATCCTATAAAACGGCCCCACCCCTATGTGCGTGACATTTGGTGGTGTGACTCAGATCGGGGGACCTCCCTTGGGAGATCAATCCCCTGTCGTCTTCCTCTTTGCTCCATGAGAAAATCCACCTATGACATCGGGTCCTCAGACCAACCAGCCCAAGGAACATCTCACCAATTTTAAATCGGGTAAGTGGCCTCTTTTTACTCTCTTCTCCAACCTCTCTCACTATCCCTCAACCTCTTTCTCCTTTCAATCTTAGCGCCATCTTTCAATCTCTCCCTTCTCTTAATTTCAGTTCCTTTCCTTTTCTGGTAGAGACACAGGAGACGTGTTTTATCCGTGAACCCAAAACTCCGGCACTGGTCATGGACTTGGGAAGACAGTCTTCCCTTGGTGTTTAATCACTGAGGGAACGCCTGTTTGATTATTCACCCAAGTTTCAGAGGTGTCTGATCACTGTGGGGACGCCTGCCTTGATCCTTCACCCTTAGTGGCAAGCACCACTTTCCTGGGGGGCAAGTACCCCCACCCCTTCTCTCCGTGTCTCCACCCTCTCTTTTCTCTCCACTTTCCTGGGGGACAAGCATCCCCCACCCCTTTGCTCTGTGTCTCTACCCTCTCTTTTCACTTTCATGGGGGCAAGCACCCCCCACCCCTTCTCTCCATGTCTCTACCCTCTCTTTTCTCTGGGCTTGCCTCCATCACTATAGGCAAACTTCCACCCTCCATTCCTCCTTCTTCTCCCTTAGCCTGTGTTCTCAAGAACTTAAAATCTCTTCAACTCACACCTGACCTAACATCTCAATGCCTTATTTTCTTCTGCAATGCCGCTTAACCCCAATACAAACTCGACAATGGTTCCAAATAGCCAGAAAATGGCACTTCTGATTTTTCCATCCCACAAGATCTAAATAATTCTTGTCATAAAATGGACAAATGGTCTGAGGTGCCTGATATCCAGGTATTCTTTTACACATTTGTCCCTCCCTAGTCTCTGTCCCCAATGCAGCTCGTCCCAAATCTTCTTCTTTCCCTCCCACCTGTCCCCTCAGTCCCAACCCCAAGTGTTGCTGAGTCTTTCCAATCTTCCTTTTCTAAGGACCCATCTGACCTCTCCCCTCCTCCCCAGGCTGCTCCTCGCCAGGTCGAGCCAGGTCCCAATTCTTCCTTAGCCTCCACTCTCCCACCCTATAATCCTTCTATTACCTCCCCTCCTCACACCCCATCTGGCTTACAGTTTCATTCCACGACTAGCCCTCCCCCACCTGCCCAACAATTTCCTCTTTAAAAGGTGGCTGGAGCTAAACGCATAGTCAAGGGTAATGCTCCTTTTTCTTTATCTGACCTCTCCCAAATCAGTTAGCATTTAGGCTCTTTTTCATCAAATGTAAAAACCCAGCCCAGTTCATGGCTCTTTTGGCAGCACACCTGAGATGCTTTACAGCCCTAGACCCTGAAGGGCCAGAAGGCCGTCTTATTCTCAATATGCATTTTATTACCCAATCTGCTCCCGACATTAAATAAAACTCCAAAAATTAGATTCCAGCCCTCAAGCCCCACAACAGCACTTAATTAAGCTCACCTTCAAGGTGTACAAGGTGTACAATACCAGGTGTACAATACAAGGCCTACAAGGTGTAGAGGCAGCCGAGTAGCAACATATTTCTGAGTTACAATTCCTTGCCTCCACTGTGAGACAAACCCCAGCCACATCTCCAGCACACAAGAACTTCGAAACACCTAAGCCACTGTGGTCAGCTGTTCCTTCAGGATCTTACTCCTCCTCCCGCAGGATCTTACTTCAAGTGCCAGAAATCTGGCCACTGGTCCAAGGAGTGCCCACAGCCCAGGATTCCTCCTAAGCTGTGTCCCATCTATGCGAGACCCCACTGGAAATCGGACTGTTAACTCGCCAGGCAGCCTCTCCCAGAGCTCCTGGAACTCTGGCCCAAGGCTCTCTGACTGACTCCTTCCCAGATCTTCTCAGCTTAGCGGCTGAAGACTGATGCTGCCTGATCATCTTGGAAGCCTCCTGGACCATCACAGATGCTTTGGGTAACTCTTACAGTAGAGGGTAAGTCCATCCCCTTCTTAATCAATACAGAGGCTACCCACTCCACATTACCTTCTTTTCAAAGGCCTATTTCCTTTGCCTCCATAACTGATGTGGTTATTGATGGCCAGGCTTCTAAACCTCTTAAAACTCTCCAACTCTGGTGCCAACTTGGACAACATTCTTTTATGCACTCTTTTTTAGTTATCCCCACCTGCCCAGTTCCCTTATTAGGATGAGACATTTTAACTAAATTATCTACTTCCCTGACTATTCCTGGGCTACAGCCACACATCATTGCCGCCTTTTCCCCAGTTCAAAGCCTCCTTCGCATCCTCCTCTCATATCCCCCCAACTTCACCCACAAGTATGGGACACCTCTACTCCCTCCCTGGCAACTGATCACATGCCCATTACTATCCCATTAAAACCTAATCACCCTTACCCCACTCAGCACCAGTACCCCATCCCATAACAGGCTTTAAAGGGATTGAAGCCTGTTATCACTCGCCTGCTACAGCATGGGCTTCTAAAATCTATAAACTCTCCTTACAATTCCACCATTTTACCTGTCCAAAAACCAGACAAGTATTACAGGTTGGTTCGGGATTTGCGCCTTATCAACCAAATTGTTTTCCCTCTCCACCCTGTAGTGCCCAACCCGTACACTCTTTTGTCCTCAATACCTTCCTCCACAACTCACTATTCCGCTCTTTATCTTAAAGATGCTTTTTTCACTATTCTCCTGCACCCCTCATCTCAAACTCTCTTTGCTTTTACCTGGACTGACCCTGACACCCATCAGTTCCAGTAGCTTACCTGGGCTGTACTGCCACAAGGCTTCAGGGACAGCCCTCATTACTTCAGCCAAGCTCTTTCTCATGACTTACTTTCTTTCCACCCCTCCACTTCTCACCTTATTCAATATATTGATGACCTTCTACTTTGTAGCCCCTCCTTTGAATCTTCTCAACAAGACAACCTCCTGCTCCTTCAGCATTTATTCTTCAAAGGGTATCGGGTATCCCCCTCCAAAGCTCAAATTTCTTCTCCATCTGTTACCTACCTCAGCATAATTCTTCATAAAAACACATGTGCTCTTCCTGCCGATTGTGTCCGACTGATGTCTCAAACCCCAACCCCTTCTACAAAACAACAACTTCTTTCCTTCTTAGGCATGGTTGGATACTTTTGCCTTTGGATACCTGGTTTTACCATCCTAACAAAACCATTATATAAACTCACAAAAGGAAACCTAGCTGACCCCATACATCCTAAATCCTTTCCCTACTCCTCTTTCCATCCCTTGAAGACAGCCTTAGAGACTGCTCCCACACTAGCTCTCCCTGACTCATCCCAACCCTTTTCATTACACACAGCCAAAGTGCAGGGCTTTGCAGTCGGAATTCTTATACAAAGACTGGGATTGCGCCCTATAGCCTTTTTGTCCAAATAACTTGACCTTACTGTTTTGGGCTGGCCATCATGTCTCTGTGCGGCAGCTGTCACTGCCGTAATACTTTTAGAGGCCCTAAAAATCACAAACCATGCTCAACTCACTCTCTACAGCTCTCATAACTTCCAGAATCTATTTTCTTCCTCACACCTGATGCATATACTTTCTGCTCCCTGGCTCCTTCAGCTATACTCACTCTTCATTGAGTCTCCCACAATTACCATTGTTCCTGGCCCCGACTTCAATCTGGCCTCCCACATTATTCCGGATACCACACCTGACCTCCATGACTGTATCTCTCTGATCCACCTGACATTCACCCCATTTCCCCATATTTCCTTCTCTCCTGTTCCTCACCCTGACCACACTTGGTTTATTGATAGCAGTTCCACCAGGCCTAATTGTCACTCACCAGCAAAGGCAGGCTATGCTATAGTATCTTCCACATCTATCATTGAGGCTACCACTCTGCCGTCCTCCACTACCTCTCAGCAAGCCAAACTCATTAACTTAACTCAAGCCCTCACTCTTGCAAATGAACTATGCGTCAATATTTATAATGACTCTAAATATGCCTTCCATATCCTGTACCACCATATGGTTATATGGGCAGAAAGAGGTTTCCTCACTACACATAGGTCCTCCATCATTAATACCTCTTTAATAAAAACTCTTCTGAAGGCCGCTTTACTTCCAAAGGAAGTTGGAGTCATTCACTGGAAGGGCCATCAAAAGGCGTCAGATCCCATTGCTCTAGGCGATGCTTATGCTGATAAGGTAGCTAAAGAAGCAGCTAGTGTTCCAATTTCTGCCCCTCATGGCCAGTTTTTCTCCTTCTCATTGGTCACTCCCACATACTCCCCAACTGAAACTTCTACCTATCAATCTCTTCCCACACAAGGCAAATGGTTCTTAGACCAATGAAAATATCTCCTTAAAGCCTCACAGGCCCATTCTATTCTGTTGTCATTTCATAACCTCTTCCATGTAGGTTACAAGCTGCTAGCCCACCTCTTAGAACCTCTCATTTCCTTTCCATCGTGGAAATCTATCCTCAAGGAAATCACTTCTCAGTGTTCCATCTGCTATTCTACTACCCCTCAGGGATTGTTCAGGCTCCCTCCCTTCCCTACACATCAAGCTCAGGGATTTGTCCCTGACCAGGACTGGCAAAATGACTTTACTCACATGCCCCAAGTCAGGAAACTAAAATACCTCTTGGTCTGGGTAGACACTTTCACTGGATGGGTAGAGACCTTTCCCGCAGGGTCTGAGAAGGCCACCATGGTCATTTCTTCCCTTCTGTCAGACATAATTCCTCAGTTTGGCCTTCCCACCTCTATACAGCCCAATAACGGACCGGCCTTTATTAGTCAAATCACCAAGCAGTTTCTCAGGCTCTAGGTATTCAGTAAAACCTTCACACCCCTTACCATCCTCAATCTTCAGAAAAAGTAAAACAGACTAATGGTCTTTTAAAGACACACCTCACCGAGCTCAGCTTCCTACTTAAAAAGGACTGGACATTACTTTTACCACTTGCCCTTCTCAGAATTTGGGCCTGTCCTCGGAATGTTACAGGGTACAGCCCATTTGAGCTCCTGTATGGACGCTCCTTTTTTTTTTAGGCCCCAGTCTCATTCCAGACACCAGCCCAACTTGGACTTCACTCCAAAAACTTGTCATTCCTACTATCTTCTGTCTAGTCATACTCCTCATACTCCTATTCACTGTTCTCAACTACTCATAAATGCCCTGCTCTTGTTTACACTGCCTGTTTACACTGTTTCTCCAAGCCATCATAGCTGATATCACCTGGTGCTATCCCCAAACCACCACTCTTAACTCGCTCTTAAAGTAAATGAATAATATTTGCTGGCAGGACACACTCCAATACTTTCACGCTGATGAAGTCCTATTCTTTACTTTTATACTCACTCTTATTCTCTTTCCCATTTTTATGCCACCCTCTACCTCTCCCCAGCTATCTCCACCACACTATCAATCTCACTCACTCTCTCTTAGCGGTTTCTAATCCTCCTTTAACAAACAATTGCTGGCTTTGCATTTCTCTTTCCTCCAAAATCGCTGAGGCCTCAACTTACTCAGTGCTAAAAAAAAGAGGATTGTATATTTTTAAATGAAGAGTGTTGTTTTTACCTAAATCAATCTGGCCTGGTGTATGACAACATAAAAAAACTCAAGGATAGAGCCCAAAAACTCACCAAACAAGCCAGTAATTACGCTGAACCCCCTTGGGCACTCTCTAATTGGATGTCCTGGGTCCTTCGAATTCTTATCCTTTAATACCTGTTTTTCTCTTTCTCTTATTTGGACCTTGTGTCTTCCGTTTAGTTTCTCAATTCATCCAAAACCATATCCAGGCCATCACCAATCATTCTATATAACAAATACTCCTAACAACACCACAATATCACCTCTTACCACAAAATCTTCCTTCGACTTAATCTCTCCCACTCTAGGTTCCCACGCTGCCCCTAATCCTGCTCAAAGAAGCCCTGAGAAACATCACCCATTATTTCTCCATACCACCCCCCCAAAAATTTTCGCTGCCCCAACACTTCAATACTATTTTATGTTATTTTTCTTGTTAATATAAGAAGGCAGGAATGTCAGGCCTCTGAGCCCAACCTAAGCCATCGTATCCCTTGTGACCTGCACGTGTATGTCCAGATGGCCTGAAGCAAGTGAAGAATCACAAAAGAAGTGAAAACGGCTGGTTCCAGCCTTAACTGATGACATTCCACCATTGTGATTTGTTCCTGCCCCAACTTAATTGAGCAATCAACTTTGTGAAATTCCTTCTCCTGGCTCAGAACCTCCCCCACTGAGCACATTGTGACCCCTGCCCCTGCCCATAAAAGAAAAACCCCCTTTGACTGTAATTTTCCACTACCTACCCTAATCCTATAAAACGGTCCCACCTCTATCTCCCTTTGCTGGCTCTCTTTTCGAACTCAGCCCGCCTGCACCCAGGTGATTAAAAAGCTTTAATGCTCACACAAAGCCTGTTTGGTGGTCTCTTCACAAGTACACGTGTGAATAAGAGTGCTTAAAACTATTCTCTCAGCAAATTTTCACTATAAGATAGAATATTCTTAGTTTGCCCTCGTGCTGTACAATATATCTCTAGATTTGTTCATCTTACATAAATGTAAGTTGGTGCCTTTTGATCTGCATCTTCTCATTTTCTCCCTCTTCCCACCCCTGGTCACTGCAGTTCTACTACCTGTCTCTATGTATTTATTGTTCTGTTTTGTTTTCAGATTCCACATATAAGTGAGATCCTGCAGTAATTTTCTTTCTCTGTCTGACTTATTGCAGTTGGGAATGGCAGTATGTGCTTTTTTAATGCTGAATAATATCCCATTTTATATATATATATATATATATATATATATATAATATCCCATTTTATATATATATATATATAAACATATATATATATATGTTTAAATGTATAAAGAAACCATAGTTTCCTTATACATTCACCTGTAAATGGGAACTTAGATTGTTTCCAGATATTTTATTTTTATTTTAGAGACAGAGTCTCACTCTGTCGCCCAGGCTGGAATGCAATGATGTAGTCATAGCTCACCAGAGCTTTGAACTGAAGGACTCAAGGCATCCTCCTGCCTCAGCTTCCCCAGTAGTTAAAACCACAAGTGCACACCTCCACACCTAGCTATTTTTTATTATTGATTTTTTGTAGAAGTGGGGTCTCCATGAGTTGCACAAGTTGGGTCTTAAACTCCTGGCCTCAAGCATTCCTTCTGCCTCAGCCTCCCAAAGTGCTGGGATTAAAGCCATGAGCCACTATGCCTGACCCAACAGCTTGGCTATTGTGAGTAATGCTGCAGTGAATAAGGGAGTGCAGATACCTCTATGAGGTAGTGATTTTATTTTGTTTGGGTATATACCCAGGACAGGGATTATTGAGTCACACAGTTGGTTTATCTTTTAATTTTTTGAAATGCAATACTGTTTCACCTAATGGTTGTGCCAGTTTATATTCCCACCAAAAGTGTACAAGGGTGTTTTTTTTTCCCTTTTACTCTTAACTACAATTGTAATTTCTTGTCATTTTGACAATAGCCATACTAAAAGGAGTGGGATGATACCTTGATGTTTTGATTTGCATATCTCTGATAGTTAATAACGTGGAGCACCTCATCAAATACCTACTGACCATTTTCTTAAGGCTAGTTCAGTGACCTGTTGGCCATTTTTCATGTTTTCTTTGGAGAAATATCTATTCAGATCCATGGCTTATTTTATTTTTTTATGTTTATTTATTCTTTGTTATCAAGTTATGTGAGTTCATTATATATTTTGGATATTAACCCCTTATCAGATATATAGTTTGCAAATGTTATCTCCCAATCCATAGACTGCTTTTTCATTTTCTTGATTGTTTCCTTTGCTCCACAAAAGCTTTTTATTTTAATGTAGTCCTACTTGTTTATGTTTGCTTTTTTTGCCTGAGCTTTGGTGTGATATCCAAAAATAGTCATGGCAAAGGCCAAAGCCTTTTCCTATTTTCTCCTAGGAGATTTGCAGTTTCATGGACAGTATAAGAATACAGGTTAGTTCCTTTGCATGTGGATATCTGGTTTTCCCAACAGTATTTATTGAAGATACCATTTGTTTTTTTCTCTATTGTGTCTTCTTGGTGGCCTTGTCAAAAATCAGTTGACTGTATATCCTTGGTTTCCCTATTCTGTTCCATTAATCTGTTTGTTTTTATGTCAGTACCATACTTCATTGATTACTATAATTTTGCAGTATAATTTGTAATTTATAATATAAAAATCAGAAGTATGAAGTGTCCAACTTTGCTTTTCTTCCTCAATATTGTTATGGCTATGTGGGGTCTTTCACAATCCATATGAATTTTAGAATTGTCTTTTCTATTTTTGTGAAAAATGCAATTGGAATTTTGTAATGTGTATCTTTTGACAATTTATTTTAGCCTTTGTTAACAGTTTTATCTTTTAACGCTTGCACGTCATCATTAGAGTCCTAGAGTATTCCAAAAAATGGCACTTTTTACTTACACCATTGAGTTTTGTACTTTCATATGTTTAATGCTATTACTTAGGAGCTTTTTGTTGCAGTATAAAGAACTACCTCTAGCAATTTCTGCAAGGCAAGTTTAGTGGTGATATATTCCCTGGGTTCTTGTTATTCTTATATAGTCTTTTCTCACTCATTTCTGAAAGATAGCTTTATTGGATAAGATATTCTTGGTGGAAGGTTTTTTCCTTCAGCACTTTGAATATCTTATTCCACTCTCTTCAGCTTTCTAAGCTGAAAATTCATGGACAGTTGTATTGGCATTTTAAATGGCTTGGTAGTATTTACCCCTCCAAATCTCATGTTAAAATGTGACATCCAGTGTTGCAGGTGGGGCCTGATGGGAGATGCTTAAGTTATGGAGGAGGTAAATGACTTGATGCCATTTCCATGGTAATGAGTGAGTTCTCATTCAGTCCCCATTAAATCTGGTTGTTTAAAAAGTCTGGCACCTCCTCCCCACTCTTTCTTACTCTCTCTCACCATATGACATGCTTGCTTCCCCTTCACCTTCCATCATGATTGTAAGCTTCCTGAAGCATTACAAGAAGCAGATGTTGGCACCATGCTTATGATACAGTCTACAGAATCATGAGACAAAATAAACTTCATTTCTTTATAAATTACCCAGTCTTAGGTATTTCTTTATAGAAATAGATGTGGACTAACATAGAAAATTGGTACTGAGCAGTGGGACATTGCTATAAAGATAGCTGAAGATGTGAAAATGGCTTTGGAACTGGCTAACAGGCAGAGGTTGGAAGTGTTTGGAGGTCTCAGAAGAAAGGAAGAAAAGGGAAAGTTGAAACTTCTTAGAGACTTATTAAGTGGTTGTGACCAAAATACTGGTAGAAATATGGGCAAAGACAGGCTAAGGTCTCAGATGGCAGTGGGGAAGTTATGGGGAACTTCAGTTAAGCTCACCCATGCTAAACCTTAACAGAGAAGTTGGCTGCATTGTGTTCATGTGCTAGGGATCTGTGGAAGGTTGAACTTAAGAGTGACGAATTAGCGTATACTGGCTGAAAAATATTTCTAAGTAGCAAAGTGGTCAATATGTGGCCTGGCTGCTTCTAATGTCTACAATCAGATATGGGAACAAAGGAATGACTTGAAGTTGGAATTTGTAATTAAAAAGGAGGAGGAATGAAAAGCTCTTGGAAAATTTGCAAGCTGATTATATGGTAGAGAAGAAATTAATATTTTTAGGAAAGGAACTCAGGTGGGGTGCTGAGCTACAACTTGCTAGGGAGAGATTTGCATGCCTAAAAGGGGGCCAAGTGCTAATATTCAAGACAATGAAGAAAAGGCTTTGAAGGCATTTCAGAGATCTTTGAGACAGCCTTTCTTATCACAGGTTCAGGGGCCTAGGAGGAAAAAATTATTCTGGAAACCAGGCATATGGCCTTGCCACCTTGTGCAGCCTCAGGGCACTGTTCCCTGCATCCAGGCCACTCTGGCTCCAACCTTGGCTCAAAGGACCACAGATATACTTCAAGCTGCCACAGATATACTTGTGCTCTGAAGGGCACAAGCTACTCTAAGTTCTGGTAGCTTCCATGTGATATTAAGCCTGCAAGTGCATAGCATGTAAGACTTGCTTGGCAGTTCCAGCCAAGGAGGCTGAGCAGGTTCCAGCTAGATTTCAGAGGATGTATGGGAAAGCCTGGGTGTCCAGGCAGAAGTCTGCTACAAGAATGGAACTATGGCAGAGCCTCTACTAGGGCAATGCTCAGGAGAAATGTCGAGTTAGAGCCCCCACACAGAGTCTCCACGAGGACACTGCCTATTGGAGCTGTGGTAAGGGGGCTGCCACCCTCAAGAACCCAGAATGGTAGAGCCACTGGCAGTTTGCACCCTGAGCCTGGAAAAGCCAAAGGCACTCAACTCCAACCTATGTGAGCAGCCTGGGGAGCTGCACTCTGCAAAGCCACAGAGGTAGAGCTGCTTAAGGCCATGGAAGCCCACTCCTTGCACCAGTGTTCCCTGGATTCAGGACAGAATGGCAAAGGAGATTATTTTGGAGCTTTAAGATTTAATAACTGCCCTGCTGGGGTTCAGATTGTATGGGAAATGTTACCGCTTTCTTTTAGCCAATTTCTCTGTTTTGGAATAGGAATGTGTACCAAATTCCTGTGCCGCCATTGTATCTTGGAAGTAAATAGCTTTTAAAAAATTTTTATTTTATAGGCTCATAGGTGGAAGGAACTTACCTTGAGTTCCAGATGAGACTGAATTTGGGGTTTCTGAGTGATGCTGGAAAAAGTTAAGATTTTGAGGGACTACTGGATAGGGATTATTGTATTTTGCAATCTGAGAAGAATATGAGATTTGAGGAGCCAGGAGTGGAATAATATGGTTTCAATGTTTTGTCCTCTTCAAATCTCATGTTGAAATGTGATCTCCAGTGTTGGAGATAGGGCCTGATGGGAGGTGTTTGGTTCATAAGGGAGGATCCTTCATGAATGGCTTGGCACTTTCCCCATTATAAGAAATAAGTTATCAGTTCACATGAAAGTTGGTTGTTCAAAAACCCTGGCACTTCCTCACTGTATTACTCCTTCTCATCATGTGACATGCCTGCTCCTCCTTCTCCTTCCACCATGACTGTAAGCTTCCTGAGGCCTCACCAGAATTATATGCTGGCACCATGCTTCCTGTACAGTGTGTAGAACTGTGAACTGAACTCAACCTCTTTTCTTTATAAATTGCCCAGGCTCAGATATTTCTTTATAGCAACACAAATGGATTAACACAGCGTTCCTCTGTATGTCATGCATTATTTATCTTTTGGGGCTCTCAGAATTTTTTGTCTTTGATTTTGATATTTTGTCTTTGATTCTTGATCATTTGATTGTTATGTGTCTTAGTGTTATCCTCTCTCAGTTGAATTTGATTGGAGACTTCTGCCTATCTTGTACCTGGGTATTGGTATCTATCTCCAAAATAGAAACGTTTTCATCTATTATTTCTATAAATATGCTTTCTAGTCCCTTTAAAGAAATTATTCTCCTCATGAAACTCCTATTATGCCAAAGTTTTGTCCCATAATGGTGTCCCATAATTCCTATTGGCTTTCTTCATTTTTAAATTGTATTTTTCTTTTTGCTTCCTGAATGGATACTTTTAAAATTGTTTCTATCTTTTTGCTTCCTGATTGGATAATTTTAATTCTTCCATCTTCCACATCACTGATTCTTTCTTCTACATGACCAAGTTTGTTATTCAAGCTGTTTTGTGAAGCTTTTTGTTCATTCATTCCGTTCCTCATCTCTACTATTTCTATCCAGTTCTTTATAATTGTTTCTATTTTTTGTCTACCTTCTGACTTTTTTCATGTATTATTTTTCAAATTTCATCCAGTTTTTAACTCATATATTCTTACCATGCTCTGACCTTCTTTGAGTATTATTCTGAATTGTCTGACAAAAATTCCTAAACCTCTATTTTTGCAGGGTTCATTGTTGGCAGTTTCTTTAGGAGGAGTCATTGTTCCACGAATGGTCTTAATCCTTGTGTCTGCATAATTGTCTGCACATTTGAGAAGACAGCTCCTTCTTCTGGGTTTATAGGTAGTTTTGTTTTCATTTTGTTTTGTTTGTTTTGTTAGAGATAGACCCTCACTATTCAGTATATTCTATGATTCTGGAAGGGTCAGCTGTTGATGACACTAGGCAGGCAGAAATTGTTGTCAGTTCTCCACTTAGATGGGTCATTGTCTTTATTCTGAGGTTGGATGGGGCTGGAGGTGCTCTACACTGTATGGTGAGATCAGTGGCTGAGTTTGGCTATCAGGTGAAGCTTCTCGCTAAGTACTGCAATAGCTCCTTGTGTCATGTCAATCACAAGATGTATTTCCTAGCCAGACAATTTTGCTATGAGGATCTGCAGTTTAGCAGGAACGCATGCTGATCCCTGAAGTTAGGTGCAGTTGCTGCTCAGGACGGGGGGGTCCAGAGGCTGTTCTCTTTGGAAATGCACAGTTGAGGATAGTCTCTCTGTCAGGGTGGAGCCATGGGGTGAGCTTTTGTCTCAGTAGAGTTGCTGTTTGACCTCCTGAAGTAAGCAGATCCAGCCTGTAATCTCTAAAATGCACAGAGGTGGGAATCTGCTTGCCTGGGTAGGGTTGTTGGGAAGGCATTTTGGCTCAGTGGAGTCACTGCTTCGCTTCTTGGGTCAAGACAAAATAGACCCTGGTCATTTCATCTACATACTTATTCATATTCTTATATATGTATGAAGCAGGACCACTGTGCATTGTTTACCAGCTTCTCTGATTTTGATGAGACAGAACACAATCATATGCAACAAGTTACCAAGTTACTTGTTACATGAAATGAATTTATTGCTTACAGATAGGCAGCAATGCAAAATAGAAGCCTAAGGCTCACTGTGAGCTGATCTCAATGCTCAGAAAACTGTCCAGAATGGTTGAATTCTGACTGCACATGTACCACTTGCACCACAACTGAGGAATTATTGTCACGAAAGAAAGCACCCCCACCCCCGTGTTTTACACCTCAGGACAAAGTGAATCACTGCACAAGAGCATTGAAGGACATTCTGTTTCTACTGAGGGACTGAAATAGGGCCCAGGCTGTTCTGGTCAGCTGTCCCTTATCACAACGTATTGCATGCCCAGCATATTCTACAGTTATTCTTTAGAACTACAAGTGAGAAAATAAAAGTAACTTTTTGGTCCAGGGCCACCTTAGAAAACTCTCCTGAAATATACATACACACGTATGTAAAAGTACATGAACACAAAGATGCATGGGCACAATTTTTTGAATTTTATTTACTTTTAATTTTATTAGTACATAATAAGTATATATATATATTTTTAGGTATGTGAGATATTTTGATACAAGCATACAATGCATAGTAATCACAGGGAAAATGGGGTATGCGTCATTTCAAAGATCTATCATTTCTTTGTGTTATAAATATACCAATTATACTCTTTTATTTATTTTAAAAGGCACAATAAACTATTGTTGACTGTAGTCACCCTATTGTGCTATGAAATGCTAGGTCTTGTTTATTCTATCTAACTATATTTTTGTACTCATTGACCATTCCCACTTGCCCCCTTGTCACTCTTTCTGGTCTCTGGCAACCATCATTCTACTCTCTATCACCATGAGTTCAGTTGTTTTATTTCTTCACTCCCACAAAGGAGCAAGGGCATGTGATGTTTGTCTTTCTGTGCCTGGCATATTTCACTTAACAGTGCTGCAGTTCCATTCATGTTGTTGCAGATGACAGACTCTCATTCTTTTTCATGGCCAAATATTCCTCCATCATGTATATATACCCTGTTTTATTTATCCATTTTTCTGTTAATAGATATTCAGTTTAATTCTAAATCTTCGCTATTGTGAATTATACTGCAGTAAACATAGGAGTGCAAATATCTCTTTAATATACTGATTTCCTTTCTTTTGGATATATACATAGCAGTGGGATTGCTGAGTAATTCTACTTTTAGTTTTTTGAGAAACCTCCAAACTGTTCTTCACAGTGGCTGTATTAATTTACATTTCCACCAACAGTGTGTGAGAATTTCCTTTCCTCCACATCCTCACCAGCATTTGTTATTGTCTTCTTTTTGGAAAACAGCCATTTTTACTGGGATGAGATAATTTCTCATTGTAGTTTTAATTTGTATTTCTCTGATGATCCACAATGTTGAATACATTTTTGTATACCTATTTTCTATTTGTATGTCCTCTTTTGAGAAGTATCTATTCAGGTCTTTTGCCCATTTTTAAAACAGATTGTTAGATTTTTTTTATGGAGTTTTTTTGTGTTCTTTATATATTCTGGTTATTAATCCCTTGTCAGATGGATAGTTTACAAATATTTTCTCCCAGTTTGTTGGTTGTCTCTTCACTTTGTTGATTGTTTCCTTTGCTGTGCAGAAGCCTTTTAACTTGATGTTATCCCATTTGTCTATTTTTGCTTTGGTTGCCTGTGCTTTATTCATAGGTGTCTTGTTTTTAGCTATTGTAAATGAGATTACTTTTTTGGTTTCTTTTTCAGATTGTTCACTGTTGGCATACAAAAATGTATTGATTTTTGTATGCTGATTTTATATTCTGCAAGTTTACAGAATTTATTAGTTCTAATAGTGTTTTCATGGAGTTTTTAGGCTTTCTTAAATATAAAATTATGTCATCTGCAAAGAT
Source organism: Homo sapiens (assembly GCF_000001405.40). Lineage (NCBI taxonomy): Eukaryota > Metazoa > Chordata > Mammalia > Primates > Hominidae > Homo > Homo sapiens. The sequence continues at coordinate 86,528,843 of NC_000003.12, read as the reverse complement.
AATTTTACTTCTTTTTTTCCAATTTAGATGCTGTTTATTTCTTTCTCTTTTCTGATTTCTCTAGCTAGGGCTTCTGGTACTGTGTTGAATAACAGAGGTAAAAGTGGAACATCCTTGTCTTGTTCCAGATCTTAGAGAAAAAGTGTCCAGTTTTTCACCATTCAGTATGATACTAGCTATGTGTCTGTCATACATGGCTTTTATTGTGTGGCGGTATGCTCCTTTCTATACGTCAGTTTTTTGAAGGTTTTTATATGAAGGGATGTTGAATTTTATCCAGAGTGTTTCTTTATAGTTCAGTCTTGGTAGCATATATGTATTTAGGAATTCATCCATTTCTTCTAGGTTGTCCAACTTGTTGGCATATAGTTGCTCATAATCTCTGATGATTCTTTGAATTTCTTCAGTATCAATCATAATGTGTCCTTTTTTAAAATCTCTGATTTTCTTTATTTGAATCTTCTCTGTTTTTCTTAGTCTGGCTAAAGATTTGTTGATTTTGTTTATTCAAAAAACCAACTTTTGATTTTGCTGATATTTTGTGGATTTTTGGTTTTAATATCTTTGATTTCTGCTCAGATCTGTATTATTTCTTTTCTACTAATTTTAGGATTTCTGTGCTCTTGCTTTTCTATTTCTTTAAGATGCATTACTGGGTTGTTTAATTGATATTTTTCTAGTTTCTTGATGTAGGCACTTACTGCTATAAACTTTCCTGTTAGTACTGCTTTCACTGTATCCCATAGGTTTTGGTATGTTGTGTTTTCATTTTTATTTGTTTCAAGGAATTTTAAAATGTCCTTAACATTTGTATTGACCCATCAGTCATTAAGGAGCATATTGTTTAAATTTCATGTGTTTATATAGTTTCATGTGTTTGTATAGTTTCCAAACTATAGTTTGTATAGTTTAATGTGTTTGTATAATTTTCATGTGTTTGTGTAGTTTTATCCGACTATACAAATAGTATAATTGGATACTATTTGTATAGTCGGATAAAACTACACAAATACTCTTTTTTAAAAAAATTGTGGTCAGCGAAGATACTTGATAAAATTTCAATTTTTTTGATCCTTTAAAGAGTATGTTTTGTATCCTAACATATGGTCTATCCTTGAGAATGGTCCATTCTTCTCCTTCGGGAGAAGAATGTGATTCCTGCAGCTATTGGAAAAAATGTTCTTTAAATATCTATTATGTCAGTTTTGTCTACAATGCAGATTAAGTTCAGTGTTTCTTTGTCAGTTTTCTGTCTGGTAAATATGTCCAGTGCTGAAAGTAGGCTGTTGATGTCTCCAGCTATTATTTTATTTGGATCTTTTTCTCTCTTTAGTTCTAATAATATTCACATTATATATCTGAGTGCTTCAGTGTTGAGGCATATATATTTAGAATTGTTATATTCTTTTGCTGAATTGATTTCTTTATCACTATATGATGACCTCCTTTGTCTCTTTCCATAGTTTTTGCCTTAAAATGTATTTTTAAGACAAAACTTAAAAAGTTTTCTGTACATTTGTGTTCCAGAGCACAAGTTTGTATGTTTGCTATACATACTCTTGCTCTGGGGTGCAATTTATATAGACAATTATTGCTGAATTTTTAGGTCTGGGTTATTTATTGAAAATATGTGAGTTAAGTTTTCTGGTCAATTTTCCTGAGTCTATAGCCTATTCATAATAGCATTATATTTAATATTTGGAATAATGAATATGAATATGAATATTGCAACACTAGAAATTAACTAATATCAATATAGAACACTTAACTGAATCCTTAGTAGCTGATTAATACTGTTGTGGAAATTGTGAATTTCGGTGTCCTGAAAACAAAGAACAGAAACAGGAAGTAGACAAATCATATTACAAAAATTTAGAAAAGAGCTTTTGAGTACATATTTCAACGGCTTTAGCAATTGCTACTATAAGATTCTGGGGTGTCTGAAAATATTCTTTAAAGCATAATTTCTTTTATTAGGAAGTACAGAGTTACTACGTCCTCTAACAGGGAGTGCAGCCTCATTGTATGAGGATGGGAGTAACTCCTAGAATTTCTCATACCTACATTTTATGTGGTCATTTCCTTTTGAGAAAGAGAGAGATTCTGAATGATTTTTCCATATTAATATTTCTCTACCAGCTTCAACGGGGTCAGCAATAGTGAGAGTGTGACTTGGATTTCCTAAGGTTAAATCTCTCAAAGTTCTGAGTTATGCTGGTAAAATTATTCCAGCTACTCCACCTCCACAGACACTAAAACCACACTCACAATAGCTGCCTAATAGAGGTCATAAGGATTAATGCCATCAAATCCTTTATCTCTGCTTAGGTCGGTCACCACAGGAAACTCAATGTTCCCAGGGATCCCATCTTACCTAGAACTCTACTCTCTCAAGAGCTCAGTGAATTTTCTGGTTTTCTGCTCTCAAGCCCAAGAACTCTCCTCTTCCACACTCTCTGTAACTCACAGACCTTCAGCTAACCCTCCCGTTGAGTTCACCGACCCCCTGGAGTCCTTTAAAATGTTGGCTGTTTTATCTCCAATAAAGTCTAACAATTAGGCCTAGAGATAGGTGAGGACTTCTTCTTTCATCTTATTTTTAGTGCAGACCATTATTTCGTCTTCTTCTCTTCTAACATCAACTCCTTTGAAGCTCATGCCATGAGGCTGCACTCCCTGTTTCCCCTCCTTATAGCAATTAGCAATTGACTTCTAGAGAACTCCAGATCGTTTCTGCAAGAAATAATATGGAATTGTTGTACAAGAATTTTAAAATGATTTCAATACATCTTAGAGAATCTTGTTAATATCCTGGTTCCTCAGCTTTTAAACAACTTCACTTCTAGTTAACTTATCCTGAACCCATCCTCAGCCACACGTTCCCATACTCATGCATTAGACTGTGTTCTGACTATTAACTGCAGACCTCTCCATTTTCTTAGATTTTCTTTGGGGGTCTTTATAATTATTCCCTTACAGAAACTCTCAGATTATTTGCATCTCATACTCTATCATACTCCTTTTGAATCTTCAAACCTTGTTAAATTCAAATCCCCATCTACTCGGCAATGGTCTCCAAGTCATCTAATGCACACAATGATACTGACTAGCATTATTTCAAATTCATTAAATGTATCCCTGCTAATTTGAAGATGATCTTTAAGCTTCACCTAACAAGCTTAATACATTTCACTAGTCAGTCATTCTCACTATTTGCCAGATGACCATTTTACTATTTTCTCTCTCTCTAAATGTGTGAAACCTTCTGTCAATTCCTCATTCTCAGCTAATACATTTGCTTTTTATATCACTGATAAAAAGAAGCAATAAGATGACTTTGCTTTTTGATATCACTAAAAAGAGAAATTCTACATGCTTTCCCATGAAGCTACCAACCTGCAGAAAAGTGATTATGCACTCATACTTTCCTCCTTCTGCAATGTGTGCACTCCCATCTAATGTGACCACTCTGCTGCAATGAAGCATATCCACTCTTCACCTAAGGACACCAATTCTGAAGTTTTATACCCAATGTAATCAATTTTCTTTTTTATTGTCTAAGTCATTATCAGCAAGAACACATGGTATTACAATTCTAGTTTTCAAAAAAATTGTTCTGTTTTACATCTCACTAAAATTATTATTTCCATCTCATCTCAGTTCATTTCTCACTTATAATAAAACCTCTTAAGAAATTTTTTCTGTACTCAATGTTGGCAATTCCTGACTTTCCATCCTATTATGAATCCATTTGTTTCCAAATATTAATACTTCATAAAAATTGCTCTTGTCAAGTCTCCAATCATATCCATGTTGTCATATTCAATAGTAATTTTTCTCAGTATCCATTTTAATCTATCAGTACCATCTGAAATAATTGTTCAACTTGAAATACTTTATTCACTTGGCCTTTGAAGTTATTCTAGCTCTTAAGCCTCCTCCTAATTCACAGTCTACATTGCTGCAAAGCTTTTATTCTTCTAACCTTTAAATGTTGTAGTTACCCAGTAGTTAATTCATGGATTCTTATGCTCTCTATGGACATTTACATTTTTAGTTTATCTAAATTACTTTTTGGTTTAAAATATTATCTTTAAGCCAGAGATTCTCAAGCTTATATCTATAACTCAATCCTGCCCTAATCCCTATACATAAGACTCATATACCCCACTGCCTATTCAATAATTGAGGTTTTAGAAACTTCAAAATTAACAGGGTTGGAGTTTTAAAATTTATTCTCATATCTTGCTGCCAAAGTCTACTCATCCCTGAGTCTTTCCTGACTTATTATATGGCTGCTGTATTTTAAAACAAACTCAGGACAAAAGCCTTGGTCATCATCCTTGACTTCTCTTTTTCTCTCACATAAGCACATGCAAATCCAGAATCTAATCACACCATTTTATCATCGTTCATAACATTGTAGCCTAAGTAATTATTATATGTTACTTATGTTACTGTAATAACTTCCTAATAGTTTTCCTACTTCCAATTTCACTCTTCCACCCCCTAGTTTCCCATGAGCGGATGGCATAAGCATCATTTACATTTATTTCTTTCATCTTAAGTCCTTAAAATGTGTTGAATAATTGATAAATGAATAAATAAATACATACATTATCATTGGGAATAAAGGGTGTAAAAGAGAAAAAGGGAGACAGAGAAGAAAACACATGTACCCCAATAATTCTTTAAGTAACTGAGGAATATTAGAAGATAATGGTAAAAGGATAATATACTATAATGTGATTGCATTAATAAAATTACATGGAATTGAATATTGTCCTGGTTTTGTACTACTTCTATTGTGTTATCTTTGGTGCATTATTTTTCTGTGAGTCTAAGTTTTTAAACTCTGGTAGGTAGAATTTTAACACGGCCTTCATAGTGTACATGCACTGATGTGCACACGCTTTCTCCCTCCTCAAACACTAATGTAAATGCTTCTGTGAAGAGATTTTGCAGATGTAATGAATATCCCAAATCAGATGACTTTAAACAATGATAACCTGATGGGCCTAACCAAATCAGGTGAGGCCTTAGAATGGACTTCTGGTGATGAAGATTGGAACCACAAAGGCAATTTTCTATGGCTGAATTCGAAGATGGAGGATGGTGTGTGTCAATAAATGCAGGTGGCTTTTAGAAGCAGATAGCGACCCTTACCTAACAGCTAGCAAAGAGGTGGAGTTATCAGTTCTACAGTCACAAGATACTGAATAATGACATAATCTCATGACTTTACCTGAAGGCTCTGAATTCCAGATGAATATGCAGCCTGACTTACACTTTGATATTACCTTTGTTACACCCAGAGAAGAGAACTCAGTCACACCGTGCCCAAGATTCTGACCTACAGAACTGTGCGCTGATAAAGATGCATTGTTTTAAGCCACTACATTGTGGCTATTTGCTATGCAGCAATAGAAAATGACTACATTAATCTCTAAAGTAGGGATTTTAATATCATCTTTTTTATGAAACCAAGGGAATGTAGCACTTATTTTTTAAATAGAATTTGCATGGTACCTCTAAATTTGAAGAAAGAAACTTGTAGAGAGAGATATTGGTAAGACTTTTAGCTGGCACAATGAAAGATTATAGACTAGGAAATAAGAACAATAGCCACATTCTAAGGATATTAATATGCCCCATGGAGCTGAGGCTGAGTTTGCAGAACTCCTGGAGTATGAATACATATTCATCATCAGATTCTATTGCAGGATATATTTTATTTTATTGAAAATGTTGTAATATACTTAGTGAATCTACTTTTTGCAATACATTCTAGATTTTGTATAGAAAATAAGAAAAGCTACCATATTATTTAATTCTGACCATGTGGTAGGCACTATACTAGATACTTTACTTAAAATGTCATATTTAATTTAAACAAAAGCAGATAATTGAAATTAACAATTGTAGTCTGTTCTCACACTGCTATAAAGGAAAACCTGAGACTGGGTTATTTACAAAGGAGAGAGGTTTAATTGACTCACATTTCTGCAAGCTTAAAAGGAAGCATGGCTCTGAGGCCTCAGGAAATGTAAATCATGGCGGAAGGTGAAGGGTAAGTAAGGCACTTCTTATGTGGTGGCAGGAGTGAGACAGAATGAAGGGAGAAGTGCCATGTACTTTTAAACCATCAGATCCTATAAGAACTCACTCACTGTCATGAGAGGAGCAAAAGGGAAATCTGTCCCCAGAATCTCATCACCTCCCACCTGGTCCGTCCTGAGACACATGGGGATTCCAACTTGAGATGAGATTTGGGTGGGGACACAGAGCCACACCATATCAACAATCAAGGCAGCATTTGACTCATAAACATCACCACACCACCAAAAGATGCCAGAGATTCTAGTGTTCAAAGAAAAAATGTTCTCTCAAATATAAAACATTTTTTAAGTATTGATGCACAAAACAGCATTTTCATATTGAGTCATTAGAAATCATATCTTAGAATGAGTTCACAGTCAGTGTAGTTGCCCTTATTTATCATTTTGGCTTAAGATTTATTGCCAGAAATGTCTTTAAAATGTGTCTCTTTCCCATGCTCAAGTATACCCTGAAAATCAAGTTCAGAGGTTCCACCTGGTAGACATTTTCTGCTCTCTCTGATAATTTCCTCAAGTTCATCCTCCATTCTCACATCTCTTTTTAACTAGGTCCAATCTATGTAATCAGTGTTTTAACTTTATTATTATACACATTCATTGCTAGAAGTTCTAATTTTATATTTAAAATATGTTATATTGTATATTATAATCCCCTTTTATATTTAATCAGTGAAACATTCTAACTTTATTATTTCTCACAAGCTGATTTATTATAAAACTTTGTGAGTTTTGAATTCTATTCTTTTTTATTTCTGCTGACATTTCAGAAGCAGCATTTCATTGTTTGTTTTAAATTTTTTTATCGTTAGCTCATGTTCGATAGGAATTTTAAATTTTTCCTGTGGTTTTTCTATACTCTATAGATGGTAATTGTTTTATAGAATGATTTTGTTGGTCTGCTTTTCATTGGCATCTTAGGATCTTCACAGTTCCATAACTCACTGGTTATATTCTTCACTTAGGAGACCAGCAAAATGGGTGATATAACCTGGATTCAATGTCAGAATATGCAAAAAGACTAGGGCTTTGATTGTTAATGGGTCTGCCTTTTCCTTTACCAAAACATCTAGGCAATTTCAAACTTCTTTATTGCTTCTTTGGATAGACAGAATACAAATTAACATCCTCTATGTGGACAAGACAAAACATAGTTCTTCTCCTGTGGGCACTGAAAGTTTATCTACTTGCCTGTGGGACTTTTGTCTGATACAATATGTGTTTATGTAACATCAGTTTGCAGGATCCCTGCTCAGACCTTAAGCCTTCTTCCTTTTCATACCCATAAATATGGTTCTTTTGATTATGGCTATATATTATAATGGAAGACAATCCTCTTTCATCCATTCCACACTTTTGCTGGAACCAGAAATCACTGTATAATTTAAGTTAAAAAAAAAGAAGAAGAGGAAGAAAAGCCTGGGGAGTGTCTGAGCTATTGTATGAATGATCTTAGAAAAATAAATTTGAGCTTGAGCTTTCTCATCTGTAAAATAAAAATGCTGTTTTCCATTTAGAAGGGTTATGGGAAGATGAAGTGAGGATGTCTTGTTTCATTCTATTGTTTGAGGATACAGCCAGTTAAAAGTCCATTTTTAAACCCAGGAGGTGGCCATCTCACAAAGATTGAGATAGGGGTGGGTGTTCTTTCTTAGAAATCACTGAGACTGTGGATAGGCTGTGGAGAGAAACACAAGTACTGATGATACAGTATCATTATTATACAGAGAACTTCCAAGTGGAAAACTATGTCTTCAGACATTTACAAAACAAACTCAAGCAGAAAGTGATAACATATTTGATCTTAATGGCATTTGTTACAGGCTCGAAATCCTATATAATAAAGCTGTCTTCTCCTACATCTATTAGGTTAAAGAACTGCATATTAATGTTGTACTGGAACCTGCACTACTGGCTCATGAGTGCCAATTGTTAAATATTAGGAAATTTTGTGAACCAATTAGTAGAATGAAATTGACCAAAGAGGAAGTAGTTATACCACAGAAGTTAACAAATACTACAAATCAGGACACTCGTAGATTAATTAACTTGGAACTGCTTTACCAACCAACACTGCATATAAAAAATGACAGTTATACAATTCCCTCCTATTTAATTATATTTCATTTGACTTTAGTTCCAATAAATTTTTCTCATTTTAACTATTTAAACTACACTTATAATTAGGGAGAAGAGATTTATATATCAAACTGGAGCAATGTGAGGAGAGCCTGAAAACCTAGGATATACTAAAAGCCTTAGAATTACTCTAGATCTCATCTCACTAAACTAAATACTACTATGATTGGCTGAAATTTTGGCTTTACCTACATGCAACAGGGCCCCATTATAAAAGCATGTTGTTTCAGAAGGAGCTGTGAAAGTTCTCAGACTAGGTTTGGAGGTCTCACAAAAACCTATTGAACATGCCTATGAAAATGATTCCTATTATTAGATAAAATGAAATTCAAACATGTGGCAAATACAGTTTCCTGAAACATTTGTTCAGAGGAAACTACTTATACCATTATAAAACACTCTCCCCCAATAATTTATTCTGTTGTATTTTCTATCAATATTTTGGTTTCCTGTTATAAATGTAGTTAAAATATCCAGTGCATCCTGCTATCTGATTTCCGTCACACTGAAGGTATGTTTGACTAATGACTACTTGTATAACTTCTTGTTTTACAATATCCTTTCTAATCCTAAATCACTCTCAAAGCCAGTAATAGGTTCTGATGTGTCATGTCACTCAGCATAAAGCTCCTCATGTATTTTTGATATCACTCAGACTATGGCAGGGAAACTCTCAACCTGAAATTGTTACTGTGCACTTTCTAAGGAAATAACTTCCATAACAATGAGGATTTTTTTTGACCTATACTGACTTTTGATGAATAACCCCTAATAGCATCTAATATAACATCATGTAAGCCACTCGTTACCCGCTTTGGGTTCTTTGAATTCTTCATGCATTTTTATCTCTTCAATTTTGAGCAGATATTTACATTTAATCAGAATTATGTAACTGTATTTTCCATATATTTACTTTGAGGTGGCCCAATCACCCTAAATACACATGTGTGCTTTGCCTGACCAGTAAGTTAATAAACTCCTGAAGGGGCCATGTATTTTTTGTATTTTATATTTTATCTGATCAAAGTGTCTAAAATGAAGATCAATACTTAGTGGGCAGGCAAAATATGTTGATCTTGCTTGTTTGTCAAATATGTGTAATAGATATACTAAGTCAAGGAGATACCATATGTAACTGGAAGAATCATCAATTTGTAGCTATGACAGTGGAACACTGCAATATGGCTTTTTCTATTTAAGAATCCATTATGCTTTAAAAGGAGTCAAGAATTTTATGCTGATATTTTAAATGTTTTCTATAAATATGGCATGTCCAGACCCACCAGGCTGGCCAAATTGCTCAAGTTCTCTTGTTAGTCTGGTCTTATAATTACAGTTAGTTTGGTGAAAGGAATTGTTGGTGCATATAGAGGTTCAATAAATTGGGCCAGGGCTCTGTAACAGAAAATATGAGAGATTTCAGGAAGTCTCAACTTTAGAGCTGAGTTTATCAACAAGTGGGGCTGAGGTCCAGACTGATAAGAAGGTGGAATCATGGAGATCTGAAAATAAATACTGGGACTTGAGAAAAAGATTCTAATATCTGGAAAAATATGTACTAAAAATTATGTACTACACAGGATTTTCAGTTCAGAAAAAAAAAATCATACTCTCAAAGAGAATCAAAGCAGAGTTAATTTAGTGGAGATGATATCAGATTCAGGCACTGGAAACCAGGGTAAGAGATCAAAGTAATGGCTGGCATAAGACTGACTCGCTGTCTAGATGCTTGCAGAATATAGGGCTGTGAAAGTCTATAGATTAGAGTTAAATGATTTTATCTAGGAAAGACAAGCAAAACAAAGGCAGACAATACAGAGAGATTACTAAAGTCACGAAAGTCTTGTTACACTGTTTGCAAATATGATGATCCTACAGAAAAAGTTCTTTGGAAGGTGAAAGATACACAAATTTGACCTACATATGAAAAGTTCTTGACAGATATTTATCTCTACCTCTTCCTTACCCTTTCCCAAGTTCCACAATTTATTCAGAAGACAGAGACAGAATCACTGAATAAAGCAATATTAGCAGACTGGTCATTAGCATATTTTAGGATTGAAAGCATTTGAAGCTTTTAGCATATCTAAATATATGTAACTATTAAACTATTAAAAGAGTATTTCTGATCAAAACATGTGCTTTCAGATACACACCAATTCAGAAAGTCACTTTAAGCTTCTTGAGAAACCACACATTTTATAGACAATGCTAAATACTAAGCAGTACACCAGAAAGTTATTTGAATTAATCTACTCAAGTATACAAATGGTTCTACTAGTTAGACTTTCATAAGAAAAAGTGTTCATAAAACCTCAACAGACTTACATATTTATTTCTTAATATACACACCTTATTTGCTCAGCTTAAATTTAACTAATAGATTTCTAGAGAAAAGTTTAAAAATAGGAATTATTCACAAATTGTAAAGAAGTGCTTATAATCACTAGATATTGTTGTGTAAAAATAGCTATACTGGGAAAAGCAACCTGAAATATCCCTTTTAATTCATGAAAAATTTTAAAAAGTACCATACGTATGTAAGTTAGCTTCATTGTGTATTAAAATGAGAATAACCTGTGAAAATACAGTGTTTATTAGGATAATAGTATTTCAATGTAAAGACATTTTTATTCCAAAAATGTAGATTTTTTTAAAAAGTCATATAATTCATAAATCAAAATAACCTGTCAGTGTATCTTTCATTTTTATTTCATATAAAAAGAATTTATTCTCCAGAAAAGCAAATTATGTGTTTGATATTTATATATAAAACATTTTAGTAGCCATTTATAAAATCTATTAACACATAAATATTTATACATATAAGCTTCCATTAATATTAGTCTATTTAAATTGCAAGAAAAGTACACAATTTTACCAGATAAGGTGGAAAATAGGGCTAATTATCTAAATAATATCTGTGCACTCCCCCAACACATTCTCTTTCAACTGTCTTATTATTTCTGGAAAAACGGTCTGTTAGTTATTCCCACTGATTTATTCTACTTAGATTATTAGGGTAAACGCTGGCTGCGTTAAACAAACAAAAAGCTATGGTTACATTTCTGTTATTTTACTCAAGCAACAAAAAAAAAGAGAAAGCTTTGAAAATTTTTTAAAAATCTCAATTGTTTAACATAGCATAGTAACAACCATATACATAAACAGGGAAATTACAAATATTCATTCAACAATCTTAGAAATATCTTTAGTGTTTAAAATAATGATAAAAGTGCTATAATTTTAGAAAAGTTAAGTATGACACATGCAAGACCATAATGTTTAAAATAGTAACTGCCAACTTGATTACTGTAAATAATCAAAGATAAATTGTATCATGCCAACATATTAAAAATATTTTAAAGTATTGGTTAGGGTTATTGAATATATAGTTAATTATAAATAATGTCAACTAATTAATATTATTAACTAGTTGAATATAAACAAATAAAAATAATACAGAGAAGTGACCAGTAGCATGAGACATGTACAGATAATCAGAAATTAAAATATTTTGATATAAAGATATTAATATGCAATAGCTGCCACACTTTAACATAATTTAAACTAAGTCATTTGAATTAAGGCTTTATCAACAAGACATATTCCTAATTCTAACCCTGGATACATCTTTATTCTTTTGAAATCAGGGCAATGCTTAGGGAACTTTGTTAAAGATAATAGAATCACAAGGGTAACTATCATGCCTGTGTTGACCTTCTAATCCCAGATGTGAGGAAGTGGCCTTTACCTAGAGGCTCCAACACTTTAATTGGAAAGTAAAATATTTCCAGATGGAGAAGGATTTTGTAGTAAGTGTGGCTGAAGAACTAAACTGATGGATGTTGAAAAAGAATAGAAGGAACTCTATGAAAAAAGCTGTGCAGAAAGGAGATGAGCTGCTCATGAGCACTGATTACTCTTGACATTTCTATTACCATAACTGAGAATGTGTATAACTTAAGCATGTGTCAAAACTTTCCTGGACTACTCTGCAGCAACCTCCTGAATCTTGCTTCCTCTCCAGTGCCTCAAATATTCTGCTTCAGTTACAACTACTAACACTGGTCATGACAATTAGCAGGTGACAAAATATGATTCACTATTGCCCATTATTATTGGCCAGGAATTAGCACCATTAATGCTGCTATTAAGCACTGATTTGTCAGTCTTTATTCCCAACCCATGCAAAGGAGAACAAAACTGAACTCACTATAAAATGGAAAACACTCATTTTTGCTACTTAAATTTCTAAATGTCATTCATATTACACATACTGTGACAATATCTATTTCTTTTCTCTGATTCCTTTTCCTGTCTCTAAGAAGACTTGTTTTTCAGTGTTTCACCAATATGTAAAATCTATCTTTGTTATCTTTCTTTCTCTTACCTTTGAAGTTATGGACAAAATAGAATTTATCCCAGGTCACCTTTGTTTCAAATAAGGAAATTACAAAACTCCCTTCTACACACCCATGGTTGTCGTATTTTCTTCTTTATATGAAAAATTTAATATCAAACATGATCTGTTGTTATTAACTCAAATTTTATACATGACTAATTAGTTCAGTTGGGCAATTTACCTACTATACTTTGCAACTAAGTGTTATTATTTATGGTTTTATTTAATTTTTAAAGTAAACGGTATTGAGAGCAAGAGACATCTGTCAATTATTTTTTTCAAGCCAAAGAAGGCAAAGAAGAAAATGATTATGTTGTCATGGAAACTAGTAAAATATAACAAAAACATTCAAATTCTGTGAAGCCAAAACTCCAAAAATAGCATCATTAAAGGGAATAATTGAACTATGTTTAGGAGAAGAGAACAAAATTCTTAAGACAAAAAATAAAATTTAAGGTATAAAAAAATACAATGAACACAAACTGGTAATACACTTTTAAGCTACAGAAAATTCTGATCTATAAAGAAAATAGAATATATGTATGAGATCCAAGAATGACTATTTTGGAAAGTCAATGATTCCAGATCTTTGACTATTAAATATTTTGACATCACCATATTACAATACAATTATCTCTCTTGACATAAGTGGTAAAGATTTTTATACGATCTGAGGTACACTGATAAAAATTACTATTTATTTATTTTTTACTTATTTATTTATTTATTTTTGAGACGGAATTTCGCTCTTGTTGCCCAGGCTGGAGTGCAATGGCACGATCTTGGTTCACCGCAACCTCTGCCTCCCGGGTTCAAGCGATTCTCCTGCCTCAGCCTCCGGAGTAGTTGGGATTACAGACCTGCGCCTCTACGCCTGGCTTATTTTGTACTTTTAATACAGAAGGGGTTTTTCCATGTTGGTCAGGCTGGCCTCAAACTCCCGACCTCAGGTGATCCGCCTGCCTCGGCCTTCCAAAGTGCTGGGATTACAGGCATGAGCAACTGCACCCAGCCTCCTACAATTTAAAACTGATACAAAATAAATAGTTTTAATTTCTGACAGTTTAAAAATAATATTACTGGTCTAAATATTTCCACTCATTTTGAAATATATTACAAGTATGTGAACTGGTTATCTAATTTAACACTGAAGACACAATCTAGAAGAAAAAGTGTCTTGTTCTTTCTGTTTTTTCCTTCCTTGCTTTCAGCTGATGTTTCCAGAACATCTTAAATTATATTTAATTAGATCTTAGAAATTATCTTCTTCCATTGTTTCACATATTTAACATTTCATACATTGCACTAATTTATTATAATTATTTTGTTATATAATTTGTACTTCAGATATTTACTTTACCGAGAAACCTATATAGTTAAATAAAACAGAATACAATGTTATTCCAAAGGTTTTAAAACAAACTATATATTTGATTAATCTATTAGCTTCCCACACCAAAACTGTAAGAATAATCTTGAACAAAAGCAAAAGTCACAACACAAAGATAAACTGAAACAAAGAATACATTGTTCAGTTATCTCATTTATTCTTTATTTGTTTTTGAGACAAGGTCTGGCTCTATCACCCAGGCTGGTGTGCAATGGCACAATTTTGGCTCACTGAAAACTCTGCCTCCGACTCAGGCACTCCTCCTACCTCAGCCTCCCAAGTAGCTAGGATTACAGGTGCATACCACCACACCAGGCTAATTTTTGTATTTTTAGTAGAGATGAGGTTTCTCCATGTTGCCCAGGCTGGTCTCGAATTCCTGGGTTCAAGCTGTCCACTGACCTTGACCTCCAAAAATGCTGGGATTATAGGTATGAGCCACCGCATCCAGCTATTCTGTATTTATTTTGATTGTGTAAAATCTGAATTTTATTTTGTAAGATTTAAACTGTGATCAATTAAGCAAAAAATTTCAACCAAATTATTTAATAAATACTTATTCTGACAGTCTTTAAACATGGCCTGTTTGTTTACTAACCCTCCCTTTTATTCATGCTCTGATAACTCTGTTCTCTCTCTTTGCTGCAATTTAACAAACACACACTCTCTGTCTCTCTTTCTCATCCATGTCTCTATCTCTCTATTTGTCTACTATAAATGTATATATTTGGAGAAACTGAGAACCCAGAATATTAAATGATATGCTCGAAGGTCACATAGCTCACTTTTCAATGAGTCATGTATAGAGTTCAGGAATCTAATCTCCTATTTGGTGCCAAGTTACCCCTTAATTCCTAAGTACAGAGCAATTTCCCAGCCATTTTAAAATTATGAGCAGATGTTAAATGAGCAATGAACTATGAAATTGTATAAACATGAATAAAGTTTAGAGTGGTAATCAAATAAAACCTATAACAAGTGCATTTAGCACGTGCTTAATTGTATGCACAATCCATATTGTACCGCATGGTAATTGTATATAAATAGTAAGCAAAGATCATAAAAGACTGCCATTAGTCTTTTAAATGGACAATTATATTGTTTCAGCTCCTTAATTGTTTAAGGCCTAAGTTATTAGTTATTCTTGATTCTGGCTTACCTTTAGCTGTGTTCAGTCAAGCTGTATTTAGAATGATTTCATAAGGTGCAAACACATACACCTTCACAGGAGCATTTTGAAGATATGCTATAGATAATTGAAAAAAGCAATCTCTTCAAAAGCACCATGGGGGCAGGAAAGGCTTCTGAAAAATCCAGGAGCATAGACCAAGTCTTAAGGGGAGTTAGAACAGTTTCCAGCAGTGAACGATTTTCATCAAAAAAAATAGTACAAAAAAGTTTCTAACTCTCTTGTTGCTTCAAGTAACAGAGCTTTACCAACTGGGACTGCTGAGCTCAAGGTTAAGGTAAAAGTACAATGATAAGCAGGGCAAGAGCAAGGAATTAAACTTGAAAAATTCTGGAGCCCAACGAGGAAGCAAAGGGAGCGGCAGGTTGAATGACTGTGAATCACACTGGCTCCTTGCCAGTCACTGCCAAAATACATGCCATGCCCATCTCACTCTTTGCTCCCCCTTAAGTTTAGAATCATGAAATCCACACATGACAAGTTAAGGGAGGACCACTGGCTACACCTTGCTTTGTGATACTTTTACTAGTTTTCACATAACACAAGAGGATACTATTTTCTTAGAATAAACATCATTTCTTACTATTTGTCTGCTGCTATTTAACTAATTTGCTGCTTTTTGGTTTAAGGAAAATTTTATCTTAAATGAACAGGGAACAACAAAATAAACTATAATAGTACAATTGTTACATAACTATTTTGAAATTCTTTGAAGGAAAAGATTATTTCAGGAGTTGTTGACTCATGATCAGAAACGTCAAAAAGGATAGGTAAATGTTGAGGATTAAGGATGAGCATTTTAGAAAAATAATTTATCAGACTCACTATGACAGAGCTTTTGTTTTTGTAGCCTATTAATGAGTCATGAAACCAATTCAATGGATCACAATGAGCATTTAAGTGGTAACTAGAATAGAATAAAAAACCAACGGAAACTGCTAGTGCGTGATACACGGTAAAGATAAATATTGTTTGAGGAAACATTTGCTTTTAGTTCATGAATGTGTGGTGGTGTGTGTGTGTGTGTGTGTGTGTGTGTGTTCTGGCTCACAGCTATGGACTAAATGTGTCTCCCTCAAATTCAGGTGTTGAAGCCCTGATCACCAGTGTGATGGTATTTGAAGGGGAGGCCTTTGGGAAGTAATTAGGTTTACGTGAGGTTTTGAGGATAGAGTCCCCATGATGGAATCATAAGAGCTCTTATAAAAAAGAGGGAAAAACAGCGAGTTTCTTTCTCTCTCTCTCTCTTTCTCTGCCTGTATGCACAAAAGTAAGGCATGTGAGGACATAACCAGGAGAAGGACCCTCACCAAGAACACAACCATGTTGGCTGGTGTCTTGATCTTCAACTTCCAGCCTCCAGAACCAAGAGAAATCAGTTTGTTGTTTTAGCCTATAATAATTTGTTATACCAGCTGAATTAAAACATTCACTATGCTAATTTGTTATTTGAGTTAAAACAAACAAACAGACAAACAAACAATCTACAGCTTTCAAGAAATAGCCACTTTGAAAATCATTACCCTACCTCCCCCACCCCTGGTGTAAATTGAAAAGGACAAATGCCTAGGAATGAACAAACTGTCCTTTGGGTGGTAAAGTCCCAGGAACCCACCAAAACTTTACTTCTCAATCCTACTTTATTCTCACTGTGTAAAAGTCCTTTCTTCCTAACTTGATTTCTATTTTTAATGTTCTCTCACATGCACACAAAAAAGCACCACACTCAGTGACGCTCACACAAAAAGTGTCCCACAATACATTGTACTTACTAATGCTAATGAGCTTAACTTCTTTTTAACAGCTTGCTTTTTTTTTTTTTTTTTGCTCATAATTATTTAAAATTGGTACACGTTTTTCGGAATTACGAATCTATAACAATGATGGCCAATTGCTATCCACTCACTTTTTCTATTTTAAAAGTCACTCCTCCTATTTTAATCTAAATATATCTACACCAAACACATACACACATATGCACACACCAACCACAGGAACAACAGGAAACCTTTGGAAAATCATTATTGTCAACAGGCTTCAGGACCATCCCCCTACTATTTTCTATTCATGCATAAATGGGCAGAAAAGCAGCATTCCATCTGGCTTATCCCACTGGGTTTCAAATATGCCATCTGACCCATATTCCAGAATTCTATTCATCTCTTCCAACTACCTCATAAGACTGCAAAAGAAACTTTGAATCTACCTGATACCATGAGAAGTATTTATTGAAGAGTTATTCATTAAGGTCATGTTTTTATACAATCCTTATTCTAAATCATGGTTATTTTGTGATATCTCACTCCTGAATCATTTGCCCCTGTGGAATGAGAGTCACTACTTTTCAACACAGTGGAAGAGTGAGCTGGCTCACCTCTCCCTGTGATAAAAGAATGACCAATACTAATGCTGGCAGAGGTGGGAAACTCCTATGTGAGTTTTCGGAGAAAGAAATGGTATATATATATCACATACTTACAGCCGTATGTCTGTAGAAAATGACTTATAATACAAAATTATCCTATAGTAGCTATCAAAACTAGAATTTGTCTAAGGTTTTTAATATAAAATGTCCTATACGCAATGAACAATGGATTTACAAAGGATGAGCTACTTAGCTTTGTTAACATTATTGGATTTTTAAAAAATCTTTTGCTGTCCCAGGTTAATAAATAAAAGCGATAGTGAAAGTTAATAGTCCTTCTGTTAGGAGAGTTTTTTTATCCAAATAATGTATGGAGCAACAAATATGTTATGTGAAGAAAGTGTTTGGTGTTAAAAGTCAGAGAGTGTAGCTCAGAGAGGCTTAAGTGATTCTGTGTGACTCAAGATTGATGCAAGTAATAATATGGGTTAAGGGGCAGGTGGAGGTAGCAAAGAGGGCAATAAGTTTGTTTAATGGAATGTCTTTCTCCTATATTATTGATGAAAGAGAAGGCTGTTATCTGCTGGTACACAGTTAACTTTATATATTTCTTTGTTTTCTTGTTCACAGAATTATAGTTTCTTAGAATATGTGCAATCACTAAAACCCTAATATCTTTATCAATGTGTAAGATCAATGTTTTTTTCTAGGTGCTTAAGTACACTGATTCATTTTGAAGGACCAGTAAAATAACAACATATTAAATGTGCATATCAGATTTCTCAAATTATTTCATGTTATGAGTTAAAATTTGCATAGCTATCTGTAATCCATGTATTTTTATTATGGTAAATTATATTTATTAAAAATTCCAGTCAACCATTTATATGTACAGTTCAGTGGCATTAAGTAAATTCATATTATTGTATATCCATCATCATTATCTATCCTAAGAACTTTTTTCATCTTTTCAAACTAAAACTCTATACCATACTCATTAAACAATGAACTCCCCATTGCCCCTCTCCTCAGCCCCTGGTATTTATCACTCTACTTTCTGTCTCTATGAATTTGACTGCTCTATGTACCATATTTAAATAAAATCATGCAGTATTTGTCTTTTTGTGACCGACTAATTTCACTTGGCATAAGGCAATCAAAGCTCATCTTGTAACATGTGTCAGAATTCCCTTATTTTTAAGGTTGAATAATAGTCCAGTGTACATATATCCCACATTTTGTTTGTCCATTTATCTGTTAATAAACATGCATTGCTTTCACATTTTGATTATTGTGGATAATGTTGTTATGAACATGGGTATATAAATATTTGTACAAATCCTTGCTTTAAATTTTTTGGGTATACACCTAGAAGTATAACTGGCGGATCATATGGTAATTCTATTTTGAACAATATTGAACAAAAGTTAGAAACCTGGATCCCTACATTTGCTTATTTGTTCAATTCTGGTATACTTGTGTAGCAGCTTCCAAATTGCTAACCTGTACCCACCACAATGGAAAAACCTTTATTAATTATAGTATTGTGTTTATATATAGTTTCTTTTGCCTTTAAGCTTGTAGACTCCACTCATTTCCAAAGATATTTAGGTCATTATCTTATCCTCTATCCCCTTCAGTGAGGTTATTTCATATACTTATAGTGCACTTAGATCTTTATACTACATTTCACATTCCATCCTGGAATCCAAAACCTCCTAAAGTTTTTGGTTTTAATTTATATACTTTAAGATTCACTCTTTGTACTGTAAATTTCCAAAAGTTTTCAGAAATTCATGGTGTTATGCATTCAACATTACAATATCATACAGAATAGTTCACTGTTCTAAGATATACCGTTTGTTTCACTTGCCCAATCTTCCCCTCTTTCCCTGATCTACTGACAACCACTAATCTGTTTTACCATCTCTACAGAATTCCTTTTCCAGAATATCATATAAGTGGCAAATACTCTATAGCGTCTTAAGACTATCTTCTTTCGCTTACCTATATGTACTTGTTATTGAACTATATCTTTCAAGATTGGATGTCTCAGTCCTTTTTATTGTTAAATAGTATTTCAGTGTTTGAATGTAGCGTGGATAAACTATTCCCCTATTGAAGGACATCTTGGTTGCTTTTAGTTCTTGGAAACTATGACTGAAAAATCCATAGACATTTGCATGCAGGTTTTTGTGTGGACGTAAGTTTTCAAATCATGTGTATAAATATCTGTAAGAACGATGGCTAGATTATGCAGTAACACTAAGTTTAGCTTTGTAAGAAACTGCCATGCTGTCTTTCAAAATGGGTGCACCATTTTCTACTTCCACCAGCAATGAATGAAAGTTTCTGTTTAGGTTTTGTTTTTAACTAGCAATTTGTCAATTTCAGAGATAACTGAATAAAGAAACAAAATTCTATTCTGCATTAAACCTGCATTTGAAACCTCCTCAGTGATTCCTTTATATGACATAAATCAAGGACAAGGTTTTGGAGGGAAGAAAACCTCTGTCAACTCACAATACAGACTGAAAAACCACTGGTAAGCTATATGATCTCAGGGTAGGAACTATCCTCTCTGTGCCTTAATTCTTTATCTGTGTAAAGAAATAATGTGGTACCTCTTTTCTACAAATTTTGAAAATTTAGACGAAATCATGCTTGCTGAAGACAATCACGAAAGTATTTTTTTTCCCACTAAAACCACAGGCTGATTTCTCTTGACTTTTACTATTGCTCTGCATTTCAGTGACTTCCTATTACCTTTCACAATGAATTTTTCTCAAATAACTTTGATAATGTTTTAACTACAAACCTGACTCCACACTGTTAATTCTTGGCAAATGACCTTTCCTCTTACTTAGCACCTTAGATTTAAGAAAATTAATCACAGTTTTATAACCATATAATATGATATTTATAATCATGGTTTTAAAATTATATTTATATATGGTTATATTTATATGTGTGTGTCTGTGTGTGTCTGTCTGTAATAGCACTAGCCTAGGTGATATCTAGTAGAAACACCTGTAGCTCTTGTTCTTACACGTATTCTTTCTCCACAGCTGGAAAGAAGCTTAGCTCCCGATACACCCAGGAACTGAGTAACATTTGTCATCTCTATTTACTATTTTACTGAGACTCCTGTTCTGTCCCTACCAATCTCACAAACACACCCACACACATACAGTCTCTCATTATTTTCTGGAAACTATTATTTGTTGTTCTGAGGCATCTGGGACTGGCACAAAGAAACTAAGAACATATCTGTTTCTTCTGTTTGACCTTCATTCCCAATGGAAGCTTGAAAAGCCAGGATGGGTGTGAAAGAGGAACCTAGAAATTCTATCCCCTATCTCGCCCACCCTCCCCTACATTCTCTAGGAGATGTGCGTCTATAGTATCAGCAACTACTTTTCCGTTCTTCCCTGCACACCCATGCCTGGCGAAGCTATCTCCAGAATTAGGAATCTCTACCCACAACCTAGAGCTAGCTATCTCCAACTTATAAAAGAAATGTGTACTAGACACAGGGAGGGGAACAGCACACACCGGGGCTTATTGCGGGGGGCAGGGGGAGAGAGAGCATCAGGATAAATAGCTGATGCATACAGGGCTCAATACCTATGTGATGGGTTGATAGGTGCAGTAAACCACCATGGGACATGTTTACCTATGTAACAAACCTGCACATCCTGCACATGGATCCTGGAATTTCAAATAAAATTAAATTAAATTTTAAAAAATTTAAAAAACCCAAATGTGTAAAAAATTACTCTTTTATCTTTTATCCACTAAAATTTACTGAGCACCTAAAATGTACCAGTAACAAATAATTAGCACATGTTACTGCAAAATACCTTTACTATCATCATCACAATTGGCATTATTATAATATTACCAGAAATCCACAAATGTTTATTAAAACACAACTATTGGAGAAATTGCAGTGTAGTGGTAGGAAAGACTATCTTTGTCCTACACTTAATGGAACTTATAGTCTATTGAAATAATAAAAAAATTTTACATGGTAGATTTCAATTTAAAAATGCATTCAGTTGCACCATCTATTTTCTCTTTATGACATGTTAAACTCTTAAATACCGAATATTTAACTTCTCTTATTTTCCTATTTTATCATAAACATAATCCTCTGGTTTTACTCATCCAGCTGCTTGTACCATGATACCTATCATTTAATCATATTATCACAAAGATACTACTTTCTGGAGCATCTGTCTGGGAAGGTTATTCGAGTTTAAGGATGCTGCAGTTACAATGGCACATTTAGTTATAAATATTCCCTGCATAAGCAGCTGGCCGTAGAATACACAAGCTCAGGAGGGAGAGCTGGGCTGGAGACTTGAAATTAATGAGTCATGTTGTTGGTAGATGAGGCCATTGATAAAACCACCCAGGAAAGGGAAAAAATTAGGTGAGAACGGGGAGAGAACCTAAGGATTTACGTCTAAGAAACAGATGGGATTGGTCAAAGGAGAAGCTTGCCTAGGAGACATGTAAGACTAGTCTGTGATACATGAGAAATTAGGAGATTGTGCCCTGGATGGGAGCTTACAAGAGCAGAGAGTGGTCAAACATGATTAAGATACTAGACTAAAAAATTTCAAAGTAGTTTCTGCAATTAGGGTATTAATGGTGACCCACAACAAGTGACTTCAGGGAGCTGGAATTGATTTTGTGTTTCAAGAGTGAATGTGGTCAGGAAGTGAAGAGAGCCAGACTGTATGATTATATTTGACAACATCAAGAGTACATTTTTATTTTATTTTTTTGTGTCCACACTTCTAAAAGTCAAATATTCTCTCTCTTTTCTAATCTCCTCCCCTTCCCTTCCTTCCCCTCTCTTTTCTCTTTCTCTCTCTCTCTCTCTCTCTCTCCTATCTTTGGTACCCTGAGACTACTTACCAGTATTCTTCAGACACTAGAATGCTGGAGTAAGAATTTGATTGACAGAAAAAAAAGTTGAAATTATATAATTCTTTATAAATGTTAAGTTTTACTTCCCTGGTACTGGATTCAACATGTGGAAGGAGTTAGGTGTTTGCTTCACATTTCTGCTTCTCTGGTAGTCAGCTAAAACCAATTTGGTAAATAACACTGCTCTCTGGGGGAACTGAATGCCAAGATTGGCAGCTAGTTCACTGAGTTCTCTCTGAAGTGGTTCAAGAAAGAAAAAAAAATTCTGATCTCTATGGAGCATTCTTCTAAAAACAGATATATCAACCCAATGAAAAATTCTTCACCAAAGCATTTATAGAGCAAACTTCCTGGTATTGAAATTTTGACATGGTAGACCAATCTAGGGAGATTTATACTTTTACTTTTATCCTAAAAAAACAGTATCATAAATTATTCCAAAACGATTCCTTCTCTATTTACAACACTACTTGGAATATGTTCTGGAACATGAGTTAAGTGATTATTTCACCCTTTTCTACATATTTGATGTAGCTCCCTGAATCTCTCCTAGTTTAATAAATTCTCCACATTATGCAAATAAACTCATACAACAGTGCCTAACACAGAAGAAGCATTCATTAAATATTAAGTATTTTGGGTGAGAGGCAAATCGTATGTCTTCCTTGAAGCTGAAATGCTCTGTGATTGCTTTTCAACCTCTTTGTGCATCTAGGATGCAGACACATAACCTAGATTTTAGCATAAGAAACACCCTCTATGGTTTTTGAATTGAAATACACTGACAGAAGGATATTAAAGAAACAGGGGCAACAGAAAATACATTCTGATGGCCAAGAGTGGCCATGGGGCAAACGTGCTGATTTCTGGGGCAAAAGTAGCAGTGCTTTTAAGAGCAGTCTAAGATGTCCATAGAAGCTGGATCATCCTGTGTTCAGTGGTAGAGACCTGTTCCTCTTCTGTGCCGTGAATTTGGCTAAGTTCTTGACTGCACCCTAGCATCCTTCGTCCTACTCTTTTTCTGTACTTCATTTTCAATATTTTGGGTGTTTTGTGATCTCACACTGTTTTTAAAAATTTATTTTCTGCTTAAACTGGAGTCAGACTTTTTAGCCTACAGCTAAGAACCCTGATAGATACAATTGCTATATACATCAGAACTCAGAAACAGTCACTAAGGACCTTATCAAATTTGCCTGACTATATATTATTAATACCTCAAAACAATTCAAGTGTGGTATACCAATGTGAAAATAATGTTTATTCTTCAGATCTTGCAACTAAATGAGATATAAATGCTTGGTTACTTAAAACATCAATTTGGTGACTGAGACCATAGAAGGTCATGTTTGATTTCCACCAATGGAGATGGTTTGTTCAAACTCAATGGGCCACTTTCTGGCTGATTTCTGGTGATGACCGCTGAAAAGCATGTTGATTTAAAAAAAAAAAAAACTGCTTAATAATGTCCCAAGCAATATTTCCAGCCTCTGTACTTTAAGGACCGTTTTGAATGTGATCTCCAGACACTACCTATTTGTTTACTTTCACAGCTCTGTGATTACCGCCCTTCCTGATGGACCACTGTCCTACCTCAATACCTTTGTTGCCAAAGCAGGAATTTTCTAGCTAATAAGGAAGTCCATTGAAAATGTGTGCCAGTTTCTTCCTGTTGAAGCTGGAAGACTGAGCTCCATAATTCTTTAAGAGGAAGGGTATGTTTCTGGGTTTAGCTCAAAATAAATCTTTGTTTTGGAAATATCATGCAGAACATGTATCTTTTTCTTTTTTTCATCATTTATTTCTTTTATTTTTTTTTACTTTATTTTAGTTTCTGGGATACATGTGCACAACATGCAGGTTTGTTACACAGGTATACATGTGCCATGGTGGTTTGCTGCACCCATCAACCTATTATCTAGGTCATCTAGGTTTTAAGCCTCACATGCATTAGGTATTTTCCTAATGCTCTGCCTCCCCTTGACATATGTCTTAATATGCTAAGCTTACTCAGTATAAGAAGAATTTTCTCTTGATGTATTTATTATATGGGATAAAACATAGAAGTCATCTAGAAGCCTAAAATTTAAAAGCCCATATTGATACTTTGATAGTATTTTTGAGTAAGTGAAATTCATATATTTCTGCATGGGGAAGAGAAAGATCCCCCACTCTCTATATGCAAACAAAGTGGCTTCATTTTCTCAAATTGGAAGCAATATTAGCCAAGAAATGCCCTTGATACCCACTTGCTACCAGAAAGAGTAATTATACAAAGAAGATAACCCCCAGCTGGTGTGTAGATAAACAGATTCTTCATAAAGTTGACTTATTTAATAACCTATGAATACAATTGGAAAAGTTATCTTTCAGTGTTCAGCTGAACTTATAAAGAATACTATACTTTACCAACACTATTTAATTAGCAAGATAGACACATCATAAAATCCAATATAATTTAGATAAAACCATTGTAGGTATGACATATAACCTAGAAGTTTCACCCTCAGGGTTTGCATTTAACCAAACTTTTGTTTTATTTTTAGGAAAATTTCATCCACATTAATGGATGTTCTTTTCAGTTTGACACTCCTCAATTTTTTAAAAAGAAAGCAAAGTCTACTGTAAGCTCAGCTGACGGTTTAAAGATATGATTTTATTCTTTTTCAGAACAACATTAAGATCTGCTTTCCAGTATTTGTCAAAAAGCATACTCAGTTCACTGCTATATAACACTCATTGAAACCTGCCACAGAATTTTTAGAGTAGTGAAACTACAGTGTGTAATACTATAATGGTGGATACGTGCCATTATAAATTGGTATCAACCCAAAGAATCTAAAACACCAAGAGTAATCCCCAATGTAAACTGTGGATTTTGGTGATAATGGCTTTGGTATGAATGTAAGTTCATCAGTTGTAGTACATGTACCACTCTAATGGAGGAATGTTGATAATGGGGGAGGCTATGCATATATGGGGACATCTCTCTACCTTCCAATAAATTTTGCTGTGAACCTAAAAATGCTTTAAAAAAACAGTCTACTAACAGCAAAAACAACAACTTGGCTGAAATGAATAATTTCTATAGAATATTGCCTAAGAGAAATCTAAACATTCCATTCATTTATCAATCAATTTACATTATTGCTTTCTATTTTTTAACAAAAGCTCTGGAACACTCTAAACAAACAAGGCCTTGTGTAAGCAGTTACTATGTAATAGAGATGAAAGTAGAATAATCTTAGTTGGAGTGCAAAGAGAAAGCCTTGATTCTAGCCACTGAAACCCTGGAATCCCATAGATCTGGATAGCAGAGTTTGGAAAACATGACACTGAATACTGTAATCCAGATTGATGTGTTAAAATGTTCCATTGAAGATTGTATACCAGGGACGTGCTGTTTTGAATTCTCACCACCTAGGATTTAATTTATTGCATTGCATATGCTGCATAGCATGGGTCATTGGATGTATTTCTGACAGATACAACCCTCTAAAACTCATCACTGTGTTTATTATAATTACAATGTGAAGATGTTTGCCATAGTTGCCATGCAACTCCTCTTTACTCACAGGAAACTGTATTTCACATATCACAGCTAGGAATAAGTGTACCCAGGTGGATCAGTTTGTTTCCCTCTTTGGGACACTGAGACACATGCATAATGTGTTCCTCATTTGCATTGGTTGCTAACAAGATCAAGGACAAATTTGTGGCTAAAATCTAGCAAGGATATAATTACTTCTGGCCATATTTTTTGTGCTAATTATTAATTTCATGTACTCTGCTTGTATCTTTAATTTTGTTTGTTATTGCTTTTTTAGACTCTAATTTTATCTTTAACCTGTTTCATTTCCTCAACCAAAAAAATGAAATCTGTTTGTATTATTATCATTGGAACAGAAAAGATACAAGTTCAATAAAATAATATAAAAACCTACAACTCATTGTTCCTCATCCTCTTGAAGTCTTAATTGTATTTATTTCATATAGTGATATGGTTTGGCTGTGTCTCCATTCAAATCTCATCTTGAATTCCCACTTGTTGTGGGAGGGACCCGGTGAGAGGTCATTGAATCATGGGGACAGACGTTTCCTGTGCTGTTCTTGTGATAGTGAATAAGTCTCACAAGATCTGATTCTTTTAAAAAGGGGAGTTTCCTTGCACAAGCTCTTCTTTTGTCTGTCACCATGTGAGAAGTGCCTTTCACCTTCCACCATGATTGTCAGGCCTCCCCAGCCATATAGAACTGTAAGTCCAATAAACGCTCCTTCTTTTGTAAATTGCCCAGTCTTGGTCTTTATCAGCAGTGTGAAAATGGACTAATACATATAGAAACTTCTGAAGTTTTTCTTTCTTTTCTCAATATTTATCTTCAACAAATCCACTCATTCCTAAACTGTCCTTACACATAAATGCACACACACACACACACACACACTCACACCCCATATAAAACGCTCCCAGGTTTTCAAATATTTGATGTGATCTTGAACAGCTCGTTGTGGACAGTCCTTTTTCCTCAAAGATAATTTAGGTAGAACCATTTGTCTTCCACTTTTAATTCAAATACTTCCTAGGTTCCCAGTTTGGAGCAAAAACATGAAATTCAAAATGCTTTCAAAACCTTAATAATTTGGCAGAGCAAATAAATAATAAAGGCAGCCACTAGTGTCCTTGTACTTTATTAGAAGAATACTTAATGGCAGAGCTTTCTGAAAATGTTTTCAGAAGCTAGGCAGACACACCAAAGAGAGTTATGATACACATACAGATATAAGATATGTAAATTGAGTTGAACTTTGTTTGCATCTATCAACCTATCCTCAATGAAGTTAACCATGAATTTCATAAAGCTCTGCTATAGTAATTGGTATATCTAAAATAGTAATGTTTCTCCCAGGAATGGTCTGTTGGAAGCAACAATTTCAACATGGAGGAGAACAGAAATTTAACATTATCACTTCCAACCATATTTCAAGGGAATCGGGCAGTTTCTATGCCATCAGTTGATTGACCAAATTAACAAACAATACTCAACTGTCCTTAAATACTTAAATAATTTTATTAGAAATATTCTTCTTAAAGCATCAGGCTCAAAAAACTATCTAGTTGAAAATAAATATTTCCCAATGTTAAAAAATTATCTGCTTAATAGTCAGAGAGCCTAGCAGATCCCCAGGGATAATTAGACAGAATCGCACTATGGAAACTCGGAGGCACATCAAGCAGATAATTTCTAATACATTTTAAGCAGAGGCTCTCCACTTTTGGCCTGTAATTATTTCCCACACAATATGATCCTTCCCAGGGCAGAATTTTTGAATATAAACATAACTTACAGTGGGAACCACTAATGAAGGAGCAATGCTTAGTGCTATCTAGCACAAGGACATGCATAAATAATAATCTCAAAATGCAAAAACAGAATGAACTACTCTATTATTCAAGAGTCATGGTGCTCAATACATTAGTATCCCCCAAACTAATGACATCAAGTAGACTTTTAGTCTGGCTAAAACTTTCTAACCCACAAAAGCAATATAGATAAATTTATCTTTTTCAAGTTTGTGATATTTTATAATTTACTGTATAACTTTAAGCAACATATTCGTAGTATTTCTATCAAAGCCAGCATTTTAATCAAACCAAATTTTCTAAAATATTGATTTATGCATTGAATATTTTGTGTAAATTAATCTAGTGTTTTATTTAGAGTAATTGTATTTATCTCTGATTTTCTTAAAATTCTGCCACAGGACAAACTCTGTAGATAGATTTCATAGACTCTAGATCCAACATAATATTTATAAAGCCCACTAGACAATAAATGATGACAAAGAAAGTTAATGATTTTTTATACTCCACCTGGAGCCAAGACCAAGATAGGAAATGAAGCACCTTATTGCTTTCTAGTTTTTTTTCCTGGTTTCCTAAGTGAAAGAATAAAGGAATCTTGGCTTCGTTGGGGGAGTTGGGAGGAAAGGATGCGTGCTCATTGGCAATAGGGGCAGCTGTCTGAGCTGACCTTTCACCTCCCCTTAAATGTATAACTGGCCTTAGCAGAGCACACATACATGTTTACTCCAAATTTGGCAGATGCTATCTTGGAAATGCTACTTGAGATGCCTTCATCCCTCATGACCCCTGTGTTGTTTCTAGTTTCACTTATTTTTTTTACTGTCCCTCTAGTTTATCTATTTAAAGAAAGAAAAATATTTCTTATCTTCATGTTTTATTTAATATTTTTGGTGTTCTGAATTGGGAAAACCTGTTCACAACATCTTGCTAGCATAATTCCAAAAATTATAAATTACATTTTTTTATTGTAGCAACTTTTCACATATTTTAGTCTTTTCCCTCTATAGAATACTTGATGAGGCAAAACGTGAATTATATCTATGTGCCCTCATGAATTAGACATGTCCAGGGCTGCAATTATTCTACTTCCCAAAGAAGAGGTTGAGATAAACAATAGTGAGGATTTTTAAGACTGTCTTTTGTTGTATTGCTATTTCCATCAGAATGAAGAATAAACTCTAATACTACTCACGTGGTTTTGCTCTGTGTTCCCACCCAAATATCACCTCAAATGGTAATCCCTTCGTGTCGAAGGAAGGATTTGTTGGGAGGTGATTGGATCATGTGGGCAGTTTCTCCCATGCTGTTCTCGTCACAGTGGGTGAGTTCTCATTTCCTTGCTTCCTCGCTCTCTCTCTCCTGCAGCCTTGTGAAGAAGGTGCTTGCTTCCGCCTTTGCCTTCCGCCATGATTGTAAATTTCCTGAGACTTCCCCGGCCATGTGGTACTGTGAGTCAATTAAACCTCTTTTATTTATAAATTACCCAGTCTTAGGTAGTATTTTTACACAGTGTGAGAATGGACTGATACAACTATTTATTGTAATCTTTTTTTACATTGTGAAGATGAATTCAAAAACTAGGGCCCAGTTGTTGGGAGATATTCAACCATCAGATCTGTTAGCAGCTCTGTGGAGAAAAACAAGGCAACTCAAAACAACTCAAAATGACAAGAGTTTCTGTCAACTTCATCTCATAAGAATCGCGCCATTTTGACAAGATAAAGGATGTGTGATGCATAGTTTTATTTGGGTCTCTGGATTACAATAAAGGAAGACGTCCTACATATATTATTGTAATTTTAAGGTAGAGTCAGTGAGAAAAAATTATTTTGGAAATATGGGACATATAAACATATTTCAACAACATTTCATGTTGAAAATTTCATGTAAAGAAGTTCATGTAAAAATGTTATCTGCTAAGTACAATGGTGGACCTATTAAAAAATATAAATTGGAAAAAAAAATCTTATTCCTCATTCCTTTCTGAAACTAACCTTATCACACAAAGCATGTGTCTTCATATATTTTGCTAAGCCTCTCCATTCAATTTAATAATGAAATAAGAAAGACTAAATTATCCACTCCAACATTTGTAAAACGTGGTTGGACTTGTTTGCCATGAGAAAGAATTGTTTTCCTAAGCATATTTAGTATTCTTTCAGTCCTTTAACTTCCTGGCCTCTAAATGTGGAATGAATGGTTCTATCTATAAACTTATAAATAATAACCTAAGGAAGAATAACTTGGGCAGCTTTCTCATCTTCTTCTTGGAAGTTTCCGGATATCATGTGCATAAGTTTGCTGCTCTGCTCTATTGTTTTCTCATTTGAATCTCATGTGGCACTGCCTGTTAATACCTTATAAACTGATGGTTACATTCTGGAATTTACAAATTTTCTAACTGCCAAACTGCCCCTCAGACCAAATTGCTTTCCCATTTAATGTCCATCAGAAATAAAGGTTATATGTTGGCTTTCATCTTTAACTTTCATTTCATTCGAAGAGTACTACTTATAAATCATCTCAGAGACACCAATAAAACACACATAAACTTTTGCTTAGCTTCTTATTGACTATAAGTTATTGACTTTTTTCTAATTTAATGCATAATGTCAAATTCATCTCTGAAAGAATTATATATAATGGAAGTGTAAAAGCAATTAGCAGACATACTTAAGAGAAAAAGTTTGAAATATACTGAAATCTAGTACGCTTTGTCAAACCACACAAACTGTTCACTGGGCTTCTGCTGACTGATACATAGGTTGGATTTTGATGCATTCAAAATTTCAAATATGCCTAAATATATTTAGTTTTCCTCATTACCCTTACATCACATCATTTCTTTTAATGTCTTTGACTTTGTTTCTCTTGAGATTCCAAACTACAGGCTCAGAAATGATATTAGGAGGACTTTATCCATTTGTTTTATTTCTCAGTAGAAACCAAGGTCTAGAAACGGTGAACCATTTATTCAATATCACACACCTAATCAGAAACAGAGAGAAAATCACAATTTAGTTATGAGAAGAAAATCAAACTATTCAGCTGTTTAATTACATATGCAAGGGAGGCAGTTACTATTATATGAATAATATGATAAAGGCTTACATTTGTTGAACACTTACTCTATGCTGAACATGATTCTCAGCAATTTACATACATTACTTCATTTTCGTTTTTTTTTTTCTTTCCAGCATTTAGGTTCAAGGGGTACATATGAAGGTTTGTTACATGGAGAAACTGAGCGTTGCATGGGTTTGGTGTACAGATTATTTTGTCACCCAGATAATAAACATAGTACCTGATAGGTATTTTTTTTTTATCTTCACTCTCCTCCCACCCTCTACCCTCAAGTAGACCCCTTTGTCTATTGTTCCCTTCTTTGGGTACTCAATGTATAAGTGAGAATACACTGATACTTCATTTTCTATCACAACGACTCTATAAGGTACACATATTATCTCACTCACTTGCTAGATGGCAAAAGTGAGACTAAAAAAGTTTATGTAATCTGCCCTCATTGCATGGTGGGTAGTTGAGGCAAGAGGAATTTGAAACCTGGATTGACTGACATAAAGCTTAATACTTTAATCCACTGTGAAGCTGTTCTCTCTTTTAAAATGGAAATGGTTCTCAATTTTCATCTTGGAACTACATTTACTTTTTAAATTTCCAAACTCTCCATTCTATCTTATCCTTGTGAGAAACCATTTAAAATTATAAAAAAATTAAAAATAAATAATATTGAAACATAGATATTCGGTAGTTAACTTTTGCTCATAACATATAAATGTGTGTCCAGAATCATCTAACACAGGAAGGAGAACTTAAATGTCAATAACCAAATTAAAATTTTAATGACCACAACTTTGCATTGTGCCTTCTGCGCATTTTCAGAAGATGCTTGACAAAATAATATACATACACACACAAATACAAGTATATATTTATTTATATATGACACAAATACGTTTAGACAAAAAATGAATTTAACTCATCACTTAATTTAGCTTTTACTTGTGTAGGCATTTTATGAATATAAATTTGTAATATAAAGTCCACTTTATAAATTTAAGCACTAAGATATAGATAAAACTATTCACGTCATATCCATTATACAGGTAATAGAACTGAGGCAAATAAATGTCCAAGTTCACACAGGTAGAAAAGTGGATTTGAATCTGAGCAGTGGATTCCGAGTTCATGCCACTAATGATTATTCTTTCTTGCTTCATGGTTTTGGGTCTTGCTTTTCTTAAATAAAGCAATGGAATTCTTTCAATAAGTCAACACTATCTAATACAACCAGCTAAATACTATTGCATAAAACTTTATTGTAGCAAAAGACAAAAACCACCACAAATTTTATTAATTGTTGGACATTATTTGTTATGTACAAATTTCATATAAAGAAAATGTTACAAATATAGTATTAGATTGTTTCTACATCAGCACTGCCAGCAGAACTTTCTGCGATGATAAAAGGCTGGACCCAAGATATACAATAAAGTTGCCACAAGTAATTATTGAGCAATTAAATGTGGCCGCTTTGGTTAAGACACTGATTTTAATTTTATGTAATTTTAATTCATTTACATTTAAATAAAATAGCTACCATATTAGACAGCTCAGCACTAAATAATGCCCTTAAGTCATGGCTTTCGATCGTTTATGACCGTGACTAGAGTAAGAAATATATTTTACATCACAATGTCATATGCTATAACAATGTAAGTGAATGTTTAGGTGTGTATGCAACCAAATTTTTTAAATAAAATCTTACTAACAGACAGTTATTCTGATATTAACTTTTCAATTCTATTGTATAATGAAAAGTTTGACTCAAAAAAATTGATTCTGTGTCATATTAACAGTTTGAAATCAGCTGTTTGACAAATCTAGCAAACGGTATGTGTGTGTGAAGATGTCACTTCTACTCTCTTTCTACTCCCTTGTTTTATAAAGAGAACTGAATGTCACTGCCAAGAACAGACACAAACGGCATTGAACATTTTACTGCTGTCCTTCCTCTAGTGGAGTTAAAAGAAGTAAAGAGGGTCTTGAGTCTTGAGAGGAGGAACAGCCTCAGTGGTAGACATCATAGTGGATCCCAGCAGGTAAGCACAGAGAAAGACCTATGCTAGAAGGAAATATAGGAAAAGAGACTGAGACAAGGAACACAGTCAATCTTCTCTACTCTGGGCTATAGAAGAGGCTGGTCTATATTTCAAAACACTAATGTATACACACACACACACCTGTACCCTTCCTAGTGACTGAATAATCTGGTCTTAAAATAACAAAAGGACATATTAAAACTCTGTCACAATTAGCATATGACAAATCTAATGCTTATTGATGATGTCTGCTAATTAAAGTTTACTTCAAAACAGTATATGAAAGTATTTACAAGTAGAATGTGTCAGGCTGTCTTGTTATCTCATATCTGGGGGAAGGCTGTCAACCTCTCCTTTCAAGCTAATAACTCAGAGCTTGGTTTTTTAATAGTAATATTATATTATAATAATTTGTCTTAATTGAGTTACAAAATATATGCAATATGTTATTGAAACTGTTTTCTAATTTTACCTTTTTGGCAAGGAGTTTTTTTTTTTAACTTTTCCATATATATATATATATATATATATATATATATATACACACACACATACATACACACACACACACACACACACACACACACACACATATATATATATACACACACACACACACACATCTAATAGTAAGCCTACTTTGTATTGGTATTTCAATGCATATACATTATATATATATATCTCCACAACTTTGAATGCCATTTATGCAATGTATTATGATCTTATTCCCATATCATCTCCTCTCCCTAAAGAAAAACATTGTAAGAAATCATCCCAGTTAAAACATAATCTTTGGTGTATTTATCACAAACATCTAATATCAACAAAAATTAACTATAGAAGTGTTTTGGTTTTGAAAGTGTGAATATTATAAACTTTACAAAAAATGTGATGCTCACTTCATAGCCCACATACTAAAATTGGAAACAGATTATTAGTAAATGTGCAAAGACTCTATCTAAGGATAAGACCCAAATTGATGTGGATTCCTTTTTTCTTCTGTATTCTCCTTGCATCTTTTTACATAAGCCAATGATAAATTTTAATAACAGTAAAAACTGAGCAAATATTTTAAAACTATAATATAATCATTAAAAAATAAATGAAGGTTAAATGGGAGCAAATCCATTTATACCTGTATATGTATAATAAAAACATCCCTAATCGACATAAATTTGATAATCTAACAATAAATGCCGTAAAATACATTTACAACACTTTCTAAAAATTGTTTAGAAATTGGGATAGTCAGGCAATGCATTTACAGCACAAGTCAAGGTAACTCTTTAGAAACAGTAACTTTTTAGTAGAGCTGAGAAGAAAATATACAGAAGTACAAAAATGCAAATTACTTTATATTGGTATTTTAATGCATATATCAAAAATATATTACCATTGGAAAGAAATACATTATATGTATATAATATATAATCTTTTATATTTTTTTATCATTTATATATAATCATTTATATTTATTGTATATAAAATCATATATGATATATAAAATCATTTATATATAATCAATGTTTTGTTAGATGCATAATATTGTATCACTGAAAGATAAAATAATTATTTAATCAATTTTTATTAATGAACTTACACATAGTTTTCCACAATTAACTAAATAATACTGAAATGAATATCATCTATGTACAAATTTATGTCCTTTAAACATAATTTCATGTAAAACATTTAAGAATTTCATATTGTTTCCTTAGGATTAATTTCTGTAAGTGAATTTGCTAGGTTAGTTAGTTTTTATACTTTCAATATTTTTTATACATATAA
Source organism: Homo sapiens (assembly GCF_000001405.40). NCBI lineage: Eukaryota > Metazoa > Chordata > Mammalia > Primates > Hominidae > Homo > Homo sapiens. The sequence goes on along the minus strand of NC_000003.12, from coordinate 86,494,025 downwards.
TTATGTTGTTTTCATATATGTCGATGTCAATGTAGTACTAACAAGATAGTGAATACTTTCTGCCAAGACATCAGAGAAGGCAAAAAAAGAGAGTCTGACATTTGAGTTGCTTTCTCTTAAGGTAGTTCTCAAATTTCGGTTCACATCAAAGTCATCTGGGAAGTTTATTTAAACAAAGACTGATGGCCCCAACCTCAGAATTTCTAATTCAGCACGTATTAAAAGGGGCTTGGCGATTTGCATTTCTAGCAAGTTTCTTGGTGACATTGCTGCTACTTGTGTGAGGAGCACACTTGGAGAAACACTGTCCTAGGGACCTTGCAGATTTGTAGAAGTATCTCCCTGACAATTACAGTAGAGGCTTCTGAGAACAGATTGCTGAACAGAACTTGAAATTGGAGGGCAGTACCCCAGATAGCCTTACTGGATTTTACAATTTTAAATGGGGAAATAATACCAAAGTCACAGCAACTTTTCTATAAAACTAGCCATAGTTCAATTTATGAAGAAAGAATTACTTTAAAACTTAAACCTGAGAAGGATATTATAAGGAAGGAAAATTACAAACCCAACTCACTCATGAACGTAGAAGTAAAAATACACATTATCAGTAAATTTAGAAGTACACTCAAATTTAACACATTCAGAAGTACAAATTTGTTTTTAATGTTTGACAATTATTTCTGAAACAATTAAACATCCACTTATTGCCAAAACACATAGCACACTACAACTAGAAGGAGGAATTTCTTAATCATCTAAAAAACAACAATAAAAATCAACAAAATTACAGGAGAAATTTTGGAAGATGTTTTTCTGTGATATAAAGAGATAAGGATGACCATTACTACAATGTCTATTCAGCATTACAAAGGCAGTTCTTGAGAATAAAATAAGTCATGAAAAACAAACAAACCATAATAAAAGTTGAAAAGGAAAATAACTCTAACTTGTGATGCATAGACAACTTCATTATTTGTGTAAAAAAATTTAAAAACTGAGAAAAAATATTTAATGTAATAAGTGGCCTCAAACAAGAATTGTGAGTACAAAAGTAATTGTATTAGCAACAGATGTTTAAAAGATATAATTTTATAAAATGTGCCACTTACAACAGCAAGAAAAAATAAGTCTAAACAATGTGCGAGGCATCTACATAGCAAAATTATAAAACATTATTTAGAGAAATTAAAGAAAAACAAATAAATATGACATATTCATCCACTGTAAGAGATAATACTGCAAATATACAAATTTAATGTGATCTCAACATAAACATAAACTTTTTAGAAAAAGACAAATGGGTTTAAAAATATAATTGGACATAAAAAAGATTTAAATTATTCAGAAAAATCTTTAAGAAGAAAGTAATGTGAGAATTTCTGCTAGGTCAAAGTTAGTTTGTATATTTTAAATAACTTTTATGCATATTACTATATTGTTCTTATATACTTTGATATCAACAGAGGCCTAACACAGTAATGAATAATATCTCTTATTAGATATCAAGACTTATTGTAAATCACAGTAATTAAAATAATGAAGTATTGACTCTAGGAAGAACAGAATGATAAAACAGAATAGAGAGGATAAAAACAAACCCATGTATATAAGTACAGTTTAATTACTACAAACGTGTTAATGTAGAGTAGTGGGAAAAATATGATCTATTCTGTAAACAGAACTAGGTCAGCCATCCACCTAAACTGGAAAATAAAAAGCGAAACTAACCCATAATCCCATAATCCACAAATACATATGAGTAAATTTATATTAAATGATAGATCTAAAAGCACAAGTTAAAACAGTATTTATCTTAAAAATATTAATATTTACTATATTTAGATTAATATATCTTAAAATAGCATGTGTTTAAAAAGTACTCATTAAGAAGAATACAGAGCTTTAACTGTAAATGCTATAGTATACATTGGATTATTTTAAGTTGTAAACTTTCATTTCTCAAGACACATTTAATATAATGAAAATCCACAGAGTAGAAAAGCAACATATATAACCAAGAAGGTTATTCTATCCAGATATATAAAAATGTTATCATGTTAATGAAGAAAAGATAAACAACATAATTTTTAAATAGATTTTTAAACTTCAGTAAAGAAGATATTCAAAGGAAAAATTAACATGTGAACTTGTTTAACTTTATCAATTATCAGGAAAATACAATTTAAAGCCTCAATGAGATATTACTATACATATTAAGATGTCTGAAAGTTTAACATTTGTCTGTACCAACTTTGGCTGAATATATATTGCATTAGATTGTCTTGTATACTGTAAGAACAAATGTAAATTGAAGAAGCCACTGTGCCAAGCAATGTAGAATGATCTCCTTAAGATAAATATATGATTGTGCTGTGACCTAAAAATTCTATTCTTATGGATATATACAACAGAGATGTGTCCTCAGGTGCACCAGAAGTTAAGGACAATAATTTTTATAGTAGCTATATTTATAAAAGCCAAATCTGCAAATAATCTAAATGATAAACAACGGCAGAATTCATCTATAAATTGTGATACATTTACCAAGTCATGCTGTACAATAATAAAAACAAATCACCTAGAGCCCAAGGTGATGGAAAAGTTCTAGGATTAGACTGTAGTGATGGTTATACAACTATAAATATACTACCATTTATCAAACTCTACAATTAAAAATGATGAATTTTATATTTTAATTAAAAGTTGAAATTAATAAAGAAATTACATATGTATGAAACTGTTTTAAATAAATATTCTTCAGAAAAATATCAGTAAATTGGTACTAGAGATAGAAATTATTAAAAGGTTATTAAATTTTTTAAAAATAGATTTTAATAGTTTTTTTATAATTCATCCAATTTAACAAAATCAATTAGTCAATACACAAAGTTTTTTTTAAATGGATACCATTTTAATAATTTTAGTGCTTCTTATTTTCAAAACTATCTTGATTTGGACAATAAATTATATGATCACACCAAGCATAGGTCTTTATTTCCACAGCTTTAAGAAATCCTTCTTCAATTTTTTTCATAAAAAGGTAGAACTCAAACAATATACTTTATTACTTGATATTAGTATGAAACACCACTATTTTTAAAAGTGTGTTCAGATATTCGTTCATATTTTCCAGACAGTACTGAAATATCAATGAAAGTGATGTTAGCCTGATATTTACGGTAAGATAACTGAAACTCAGACTTTTCTAAAATCCCAAAAGGTGAGCTATGGTTGCACTCTGCTGCCTCATCTACAATGCAGCAGGAAATTTGGATCTGTTATCCTGGATCTCACATTGGTATTAATAAAGTATGAGTATGAATTATCTTTTTTATAGAAATAAGGCCTTGCTACTGAGAACTTTTCCATAACAATGACCCTGTCTAGTTTGCCTTTCTTGTTCCTCTTTTTTGTCTTGCTGCTCTTACTTAAATGTGTCCTGAGAAAATACTATCATCTGCCCCAGGCAGCTTTAGGAGTTCCTTTTTGGTTGTCTTTACATTATTTCAGTTTGTTTTCAGCAACAGTTCAGAACAGAGATTGTCCTCCAAGGCTTTGTATTTTAGAGGATTTTTGCCTTTTAAATTTTACTGGTATGGGGTTATATTTTCGCTTCCCTTCTTGCTTCTCCCCACATTAAAAATACCTTTCAATATGAAATAATAAGTTAAAAAACATTACTTTATCTTGGGTGTTAAGTGTGTGCACATAAGACTGTAAATTATCTTTGTGTCTACATGATTGACTCCCAAACTAAATAAAATAAATGTAGTGTGCTTTCCTCTTTTATCACAATTCAACTTCTTATTGAAATGATAGTCTATTCATTCTTGCCTAAAATGATTTCAGATCTTGTTGATTGTTCTAATATCTTTCAAAAAAGGACAATTAAAATTATAATGTGTGAATGAGAAGTCATTCCTTATTAAAAAGCCCTATGTATGCTGTGATTTCCATATCTGGATATGTTTCTAAACATGTAAAGTGCAGCAATTCCCAATCAATTCTTTGAAACATGCATCAATTTTTCAGAAATGTGAACATAATAAAACGAAGGATTTCCGTTTTGTACTACATGGAGAAGAGTCTATATTTCTTCACCAATGTTACAGAAGAAAATAAAAGAGCTTCAAAAATCATTTGTTATTTGATTTAAGGTTATTATTAGTCTCATTTTTCAAATGTTTATAATCTCCTTTCTGTACTTTTTGCTAATATATTAAATGATTTAAGTTTAAATTATCTTCAACATATTCCCATTTTTATTGTGTTCTGTACTATATTTCAAAATGTGAGCAAACCATGATCCATTTATTAATTATGAAAGTGAAAATGTGCTTTATTATTACATGATGAAACCAAGATTTCAAATTGATAAAAATTCTTCTCTCTTTAAATTCTTACAAAGAAGATGAAACAATAACTTGTGTCAAAAAGAATCTGTTACTTAAAACAAGATTATGTGCCAGGCTCATTGGCTCACACCTGTAATCCGAGCACTTTGGGAGGCCGAGGTGGGCGGATCACAAGGTCAGGAGATTGAGACTGTCCTGGCCAACGTGGTGAAACCCTGTCTCTACTAAAAATACAAAAATTAGCTGGGCGTGGTGGCGTGGACTTGTAATCCCAGCTAGTTGGGAGACTGAGGCAGGAGAATCTCTTGAACCCGGGAGGCAGACGTTGAAGTGAGCTGAGATCTCGCCACTGCACTGCAGCCTGGCAACAGAGTGAGACTACGTCTTAAAAAAAAAAGGGTGAGGGGGCTTTTACAGGAAACAACAGATGCTGGTGAGGCTGTGGAGAAATAGGAATGCTTGTACACTGTTGTTGGATGTGTAAATTAGTTCAACCATTGTGGAAGACAGAGTGGCGATTCCTCAAGAATCTAGAACCAGAAATACTATTTGACCAAGCCATCCCATTACCAGCTGTATACCCAAAGGATTGTAAATCATTCTACCATAAAGACATGCACGCATATGTTTATTGAAGCACTGTTTACAATAGCCAAGACTTAGGAACAACACAAATGCCTACCAATGATAGACAATGATAGACTGGATAAAGAAAATGTGGCATATATACATCATGGAATACTATGCAGCCATAAAAAAGAATGAGTTCATGTCCTTTGCAGGGACATGGATGAAGCTGGAAGCCATTATTCTCAGCAAACTAACACAGGAAGAGAAAACCAAACGCCGCATGTTCTCACTCACAAATGGGAGTTGAACAATGAGAACACATGTACACAGGGAGGGAAACATCACACACCAGGGCCGGACAGGGGCTGGGGGCCAAGGGGAGGGAAAGCATTAAGACAAATACCTAATGCATGTGAGGCTTAAAACCTAGATGACGGGTTGATGGGTGCAGCAAATCACCATGGCACATGTAAACCTATGTAACCTGCACGTTCAGCACATGTATCCCAGAACTTAAAGTAAAATTCAAAAAAATAGAGAATATGCATAATAAAGGGACTTTTATACTGTACAAATATCCATTTATTTTTTGTTTCCAAAGCACTTGACCTTCGTATAAATGTTAACCTCTAAATCTATTTCCTTCCTGATTCTGCAATCTGGCCAAATTTATTCAAGCATAGGTTTTTATAAAGAACTCTGTGCTTAGGTCATCTCTGTGGAAATATAAATCAAAATGAGATATTTACCTATTTAAGGTACTTTACGACTTGTGTGAAATGTGCAGTTTGGAGAGATGAGAAGAGTTGAAGAGTAGCTATTGGTTTCAAGTCATCTTTAGGGAGAAGAAATAGCTATGATATGCTTTGGCTTTCAGCGTGATTCTGAAAGTTTTATGATAATGCACAATCTACCAAGTTACCACATGTGACAGCTAATCAACTAGAAGAATAAAGGTGCCAGGGCAGACAGTTCCCATCAGGATGAATTCTTGTGTGCAGTGACCCACTAGCATCATATTTTGAAGCTTTCCTTATTATCATTTCATCTTTTATTTAGTATTTCATCACTGTGGTTTCTGCTATGCCCTTGTTTTTACTAAACATATTAATAAAAATGTATGCAACATCACATTTTAAAAACTATCTCTGTCATGAAGGAAATCAAGAAGATATTATTACTTCTGTAAACCCTAGACATGGAGGACATTTTAAATATAAATCTAAAACAAAAAAACTAAGGTCAATTTTAGATAAAAGGTTGATTTTGTATTATATAAAAAGTTTAGTCAAAGTTTGAAAATTCAACAGAGAAATGGTAAAGTGTATAAATATGCATTTTTCCACAAAAGAAATGCAATAAGCATTTAATTTTTTTAAATCACTCCTACTGATAACACAATGCAAAGAAAATTAATTCAACACACTTATGTGGCTTCTCAAATTGGCAGATATTTAAATAAAGTTAGAGATGTAGAAGGGGGCAGGAAGAAAAAGAGAGAGTGAGAGAGTACTCTGGGTTGGATTGGAGACGCACAGGAAAAAGATGTGGACTAGTAGTCCACGTCTACAAACTTATAAAAAAGTATTCAGTATCAGGAGGAAAGCACTGAGTCATGTACACAGATATTTAGCTTCATCGCAGCCTTGCTTTTAATAACAAAAGAAACATTCAAAAAGAACAAAGGTTCAAAAAAAGACTACTTAAATAATTTTTCATACCTGAGGAAAATGTGTGTTTAATGTATTTTATGTAGTTACTATGTTCTAGAAACTTTATATTAAAAACAATGCTTCAAAAATACGCAAGAAAATTATGCTTATTACATAATATTAATAAAATTAAAAGAAATTTTAACTGTATCTTTATATACATGATATTATTCCATGATTAATTTAATTTATGCATAACAAAATTTTGAATGTTTTTATGCTTTTTATGTATTTTTAAATGTCCAGTCTCTACAATTAATATATTACTTTTCTAAATAGAAAAGAATTTGAAAATAATAGCTTAACATTGTTGACATATCATTTACTGATAGCTTTATTCATCTTTTAATTACCTAACACTTTTTTAGAATTACATTTTTTATCTCTGAAAAGGTACCTTGTGAAATAAACTCACAAAGATTATACAAATTATGTAATTTGGAAATGCTTTCCATTAATTCCTATGTTAATTTGCAGAGAATTTATTAAAATTTAATTACATTATATCAACTCTAGAATACTGTTGGCTCACCTATAAAACACAGAGACCAATTAAAATTTGGGAAGGCCAGTAGTCTTAACTTAATTGAACACATACTTTTGTGCACCCTGCTAAGCAGTTAAAGGATGATCAGAAAGTTTAGTTCATTTAAACATAATTGAAGCAAATTTGATGGTAAGTAGCTTTTTGAGCCCAAGCATGAAGTTATAAGACCTTGTATTTTCCATCAAACAGTTGTTCTGTGCTATGTGTATAAAATGATAACAATGATAAACTTTTTAAAATTATCAGACTAGCTTAAACAAAACACATGACTAAAAATTCCTAAATATCCTCTATTCATTCTCAGTAAACTATCGCAAGAACAAAAAACCAAACACCGCATATTCTCACTCATAGGTGGGAATTGAACAATGAGAACACATGGACACAGGAAGGGGAACATCACACTCTGGGGCCTGTTGTGGGGTTGGGGGAGTGGGGAGAGATAGCATTGGGAGATATACCTAATGCTAGATGATGAGTTAGTGGGTGCAGCACACCAGCATGGCACATGTATACATATGTAAGTAACCTGCACATTGTGCACATGTACCCTAAAACTTAAAGTATAATAATAAAAAAATTTAAAAAAATAAAAAATAAATTAAAAAAATCCTCTATTCACTGTTCTTTCAAAATTAAGAAAAGTAATATAATTCTGTTAAAAGGCATCTTGCAACTTTGAAGCATCTGTTTTCAGATTCATGCCTAGCAAGCTATGAATGAATTCAAGGAAACCATCCTAGACAGCCAGAACTCGGTCATTCTGACAGCTGTTTCACCTGACTGAACAGGCCCAACTGAAATGAACTGAGGTTGTCCCAAATCAGTCAAGCCACCAAGAAAATCAGTAGGCTCATAAGAAATCTAAAAAGAAAAACATATTTAATCATTAAGTTCTAGTGTTTATTGTTACAGAGTGGGAGCTGATACACCTGTATTAAATAAAGCCTATATTTATAAATTATTAATTATAACATTTATAAATTATTAAGATGATCATATTAATTATTTTTTCATTTTAGGCTCAATACAGTTTCAAGATATCCTATAACTTTCAGGCATTTGTTCTGAGATTCATCTTTTAATAAGCTATTTTAAATATTTAATAAAGTATTTTAAATATCTTAATGTTATACCCCGAGAGATTGTATTTGGGGCTAAACAATGCAGCCATTTTTACTTATAGGAGCTACATAAACATAAATATAGAAAATGTTTTTACAAGGAGAGAAATTTTTTGCCTTACATGGAATAGAATAATGTCTAAGTAATAATTTAGTGTACAGAAATGAAATAAGGCCAAATCACAACATAATCCCACTATGTGTTCATCTCCCTGCTAATGTGAATTAGAACTGTGTGAAAGTAAGAATATGAAAAGCACTGACATTCTCTTTCAAGACTCCATTTCCTCCCTGCCCTCAGTTTACTTTCACTCTCCTCAGCTTAAGAGTGTTTCACATGAAGCACTGGGTTCTGAATTACCATTTTTCAAACTGGGAGATAACATGTCATTACTCTGATTTTAGTGATTTTTCTGACCCTGAAAGACTAGACTCATAGTAAATCAAGTAAACATTTTCTTTTGTTTTGAATATTGAAAAAGAAAAAGCATAGTTAGGTATCTAACATATTATCCATTGATATTTTAAAACATCCTAAAAATACTTTAATGATACATTAGCTACTTAATTATTAGATAAAAACTTATTAACTTTATTCATTGAGTGAAAAAAGATGACCACAAATTAACTGTTGAATAGGTTCTCAAATCTTTTAAAATTTTCATCAGGAAAATCTCTTGATGGGCATATGTGGGGGATTCATATTTCCTAAGGCTGTATTCCGGAAATGTGAGTATGGAAAAGTGATTTTGGGAAGCAGATGAGGTAGACTACTCAACTGGGCAACTATGAGACCTGTGTTTCAGTAGAGTGGTGGGGTGCCTATGTCTTTCAAAATAATTATTGCCTATCACAGCCTATCACAGCACTCAACTCTCATAGTCTGATACATGATTGGTATGGCGAGTATTAGAGCAATTTATCTGGGTCAAAGTGTTTAGTGAAAACTCATTAAAATGCAAATATATTACTTGAGAAAGGTAACGTATTAAGTCACAGTACATATTAATAATTTAACATATATTATGCTCTCCTAAGGTTCTCATAATTGATCTGTTGACACAGCTCTTAGAAGGCATATTCACTTGCATTTTTGATAATAGGCTTCTCAAACCCAACATGATTTTATCTCAATTCTTGATCTCCACTCTCTGCATAGTTTTTTTTCTGGAGTATTTCCTCTCTTAGTATTGCATCAACCTAATAAATGATATTACCATCCACTCACCTTGTTTCTCAAGGAAAGACCCTTGTTTTTCATCTTTCCTTCACTTATTTTTAATATTTAGCATCTAAGACAACAGCAAGTCCTTTGGTCTATCTTCTTATTACTCTTCTGTTGAAAAATCGTCCAGTGGCTTCTCCTGCAATAATAATTCAATCTAAACTACTCATTTTAACCCCTGTCTACCTCTCCTACCCATCTCTTAGCACTCCTTTCTTGGTTCACTCACTTTGGTCTCACTAACCTTTCTTACATAATTTATGCGTTACTCCATAAAATATCTCCCATAATGTGTGAATATTGTTTATCTGTTGCTGTAACCCCAATGTGAACAATACCACCTTAATATGTCATAAATGACTCAAGAATTTACCTAAAGCAGCGTGTCAAGACATGTTAATACATTTAATTCTCTCACACAATCTAAAGAAACTTTCTTGATAGAATATATGCATAGCATTCAATATAAAATCATAACTCCAGTCAAATATGGGAATAAAAGAACTCCAAAGCCTTTGAATAAAGCATAACCATATCATTCCAGGATTTTCCCATAGAGTATATTTGTAAAATATTCAACATCTTTGGCATTTTTCTGAATAAAAACAAAGAAGTGCTAATATTTATAAATGTACCCTATATGAAAGTTTTCAGCTGAATATATTTATGTTTTTCAGAAAAACGTTAAGAATTATAACTGACAAACTTTAAAAGGCAGAAATTATGTTCATTAATTCTTCCCCCAGACATACACAGATTGGAAAAATATGATTGTTATTTACTATTAGTTAAGTTATTCAACTCTGCATTCATTCTATAAACATGTATTAAGTAACTATAAGTGAGGGAAAAGAGTGAATTTCATGTTAGGATGCAAATATTTATATATGATATGATCTCTGTCCTTAAGTAAATGAGTTTAGGTATAACGAGAGACATGAAAATAAATGGCTAAAATGCAGTGGAGCTGTGTTCAGAGGTAGACATATACATAGGTGTCTTAGTACATTTATATTGCTATAAAGGAATACGTGAGACTGGTTAATATTTATATATATTTATAAAGAAAAGAGGTTGTTTTAACTCAGTTCTGCAGACTGTGCAAGCAGCATTACACCAGTATCTGCTTCTGGTGAGGTCTCAGGAAACTTACAATCATGGTGAAAGCAAAAGGAGACAGCATCTCACATGGAGAGAGCAAGTAAGAAAGAGAGAAAGAGGTACCAGGTCCCTTTTTAAACAACCAGATCTCATGTGAATTCATTACAATGGGGAGGGCACCAAGCCATTCATGAGGGATCCGTTCCCATGACCCAAACAAACACCTCCCACAAGGCCCTTCCTCTAATACTGGAAATCACATTTCAACATGAGTCTTGGAGAGGACAAATTTCCAAACAATATTAATAGGCTAATATGAATCAATATGAGGAAAGGTTTCCAATATTTGAAATGCTGTGGGGAGAGGAATGCAAGAGGAGGGGTCCAGAAAACTTCAGTGAAGAGATTACTTCTAAGTTGAGTCTTAAAAATTGATGAGGTGGCCAGGCACGGTGGCTCACACCTGTAATCCCAGCACTTTGGGAGGCCCAGGTGGGTGGATCACAAGGTCAGGAGTTCAAGACCAGCCTGGACAAGATGGTGAAACCCCATCTCTGCTAAAAATACAAAAATTACTCAGGCATGATGGTGGGTGCCTATAATCCCGGCTACTCGGGAGGCCGAGGCAGAAAATTGCTTGAACCTGGGAAGCGGAGGTTGCAGTGAGCAGAGATTGCACCACCACACTCCAGCCTGGGTGACAGAGTGAGACTCAGTCTAAAAAAAAAAAAAGGTTGACTAGGTATTAGGTATTAGCAAGGCAAAGAAAGAGAGAGTAGTTCTAAGGAGGGATCAATGTGGAAGGCAAAAGTACACGATAAAAAAAGATAAAAGATGAAGAAGAGAAAGCATGAAGGAATCTGATTATGCCTTATTTGCCTTGTTCACCTCTTTATTTATTGTCCATTTGTTTCTTCAACAGACATTTGCACAGCTCATAGGTACCATGCAGAATGCTTCACAGTGAAGAGCCTGAACTTTGTACTACATGTGAGAACAATAAATTTCCTATGAGCTTGTATTTTAGGACATGTTACTTTGACATTTCTCTGCAGGGAAAAATGGAAGGGTTTAAGACTGCAGGCATGAAGAGAGGCTGTTGTAATAATCCATGAAAACTTGATAATGGTCCACATTAGGGCAGTGGTAATAGAGAGGATCAGACTGATTTAATAAATATTTAAAAACAGCAGGGTGGAGCAAGATGGCAGAATAGAAGGCTTAACTGATCACCGTTGCTGCCTGCAAGAAAATCAATTACCAATTTAACAACTATCTACACAAAATAGTACTATCATAAGAACCAAAAATAAGGTGAGCACTTACAGTACCTGGTTTTAACTCCACAGCATTGAAAAAGGCACTGAAGATGTAGGAAAAACAGTCTTGAATCACTGATACCACCATTCTCCCATCCTGTAGCAGCAGCAGCATGATGCAGAGAGTGATTCTGTGAACTCAGGAGAGGGGGAGTACAACATTTGTAAGGCATTGAATTCAGTGTTGCTCTGTTATAGCAGATGGCAAAACTGGACCAAATTCAACTGACTCCAACCTACAAGGGAGCACTTAAACCAACCCTTGCCAGGGGGGAATCCCTGATTCCAGCAGTCTGAACTTGAGTTCCCACAAACCTTGCCACCATGGGCTAAAGTGCTCAGGTGCCCTACCTAATGTTAAAGGCCATCTAGACCATGAAGACCGCAGCTCCTAGACAAGTCCTACTGCTGAACTTGGCTGACAACCAGTGACATGGGGGCATGTGACATACTGAGGCACCAGCTAGGGCAGCCAAGGGAGTCCTGGCATCACCCCACTACTTAACCCCCAGCTGCACAGCCCACAGCTTCAAAAGGAGCTTCTACTGAGGAGGGGAGTGAGAAGAGCAGGAAAGACATTGTCTTACATCTTGAATAACAGCTCAGCCACTGCAGGATAGAGCACCAGTCAGAGTCATGAGGCCTCCTTTCCAAGCCCCAGCTACTGGATGACATTTCTAGACACACCTTGGGCCAGAAGGGAACCTGCTGCATTGAAAGGAAAGACCCAGCCCTAGCAGAATTTATAACCTGCTAACTGAAGAGCCCTGGGGCCCTGAACAACCAGCAGTGATATCCAGGTCTTACATAAAGGGCCTCTGGTGAGCCTCTGATACTTACTGGCTTCAGGTGTGACTCAGCACATTACCAGTTATGGTGGTGTTAAGGCAAGACTACTTATGCTTAAGAAAGGCAGGGGGAAAGTTTGCTTGCACCTTAGTTCACAGCTCACCCACAGCAGGGTAAAGCAACTAGGAGTCTCTTAGAATCTGGATTGCAGGACTTGGCTCTTAAATGACATTTCTAAACCTAATCAGGCCCAGAGGGGAATCCGCTGTCCTGTGGAGTCTCAGGCCAGGCAGCATTCACCACAAGCTGACTGAAGAGCCCTTGGGCCTTAAGGGAACATCAGTGGTAATCTGCTGGTACTGCCCATGGGCCTGTAATGATCAGGACCATAGAGTAAGACTCTTCTGCCTTTTGAAAGGGGAGAGAAGAGTGGAAATGCAGTTCTCTGTGATTCTCTGTGTTAAGCAGAAATTCTGGAATATGAAAAATGCAAGTAACTGCATCTTTTGATGTGAGTGCTAGCTCTGCCACAGTACAATGGAATACTATGTAGACTTCTAAGATTTTTTTTAACTACTCCTACTGCTAAGATGCCTTAACTCCTGAAGGCAACTTCGGACCCACCCAAGGCCTGGGAAACTCACTGCCATAAAGTGAAGGACATAAGCCTGGTTGTGTTTGTCCTCTACTGATTGTAGAGTCCCCAGATCTTGAGCAAACATGGGCAGTAGCCAGGGAGTGGTTATAGCAGGCCTTGTGTGAGACCCAGTGCTGTGCTGGCTTAATGTCTGACCTAGTGCAGTCCTTGTGGTGGTGACCATAGTCATGCTTATGTCACTCTACCCCCAGCTACAGGTGGATTAGAAAAGAAATAGAGACCCTGTTTGTTTGGGAGAAAGTAGAGGACAAGAACAAGAGTCTCTGCCTGGTCATCTAGAAAATTGTTCTGGATATTGTTCAAGACCATCAAGCTGGTACCTCTATGAGTCTGCAAGAACCATAGCGTTACTGGGCTTGGGATGGCCCCTAAAGCAGATACAGCTTAGACCACAAAACTCAATTTTTTTCAAATATCTGGAAAGCCTTCCCAAGAACAATAGGTACAAACAAGCCCAGTCTACAAAGACTAATTTAAATGCCTAGCTCTTCAACTCCCAGACACAGATAAATATCTGCAAGTATTAAGACCATCAAAGAAAACCTGACCTCACCAAATAAGAAAGCAGTAACCAATCTATATGTTAGGTCACAAAACAAGAAGAAATTAAGAAGAACATTGAAAAATTTCTGGAAACAAATGATAAACAGAACATACTGAAACCTATAGGATACAGTCAAAGCAATACTAAGAGAGAAGGTTATAAGTACCTTCATCAAAAAAGAAGAAAAACTTTAAAAAAAAAATCTAATAATGCATCTTAAAGAACTAGAAAAGCAAGAGCAAAACCAAACCCAAAATTAGGAGAAGAAAAGGAATAGTAAAGATCAAAGCAGAAATAAATGAATTTAAAATGAAGAAAATAATACAAAAGGTAAACAAAAGTTGCTTTTTAAAAAAGTTAAACAAAGTTGACCAACCTTTAGCCAGACTAAGAAAAAAAGATTGAAGGCCCAAATAAATAAAATCATAGCAAATAAAGGGCACATTACAACTGATACATCAGTAATTCAACAGATTATTAGAGGTTACTATAAGCAACTATATGCCAACAAGTTGGAAAATCTAGAAGAAATTAATAAATTCATAGACACATACACTCTACCAAGACTAAAACATGAAGGAATTAAAATATACAAATAGACCAATAAAATGTAGCAAGATCAAAGCCATAACAAAAAGTCTCCCAGTAAAGAAAAACCCAGGACCAAATGGCTTCAATACTAGATTCTACCAGACATTTCAAAAAGAATCAATACCAGTCCTACTCAAATTATTTAAAAAAATACAGGAGGAGGAAATGCTTTCACTTTCATTCTATGAGGCCAGTGTTACCCTGATACCAAAACCAGACAAAGACAAATCAAAAAAGAAAACTACAGACCAATATCTCTGATGAATATTGATGCAAAAATCCTCAGCAAAATACTTGCAAACTGAATTTAACAATAAATTGGAAATATCATTCATCATAATCAAGTGAATTTATCCCTGGGATGCAAGGATGGTTCAATATATGCAAATCAATCAATGTGATATATCATATCAACAGAATGAAGGGCAAAAACATATGACCATTTCAACTGATGCTGAAAAAAAGCACTTGATAAAATTAAACATCCCTTCATGATAAAAAAAAAAACAAAACTTAAAACAACTGGCTATAGAAGAAACACACTTCAACATAATAAAAGCCATAAACATCAGACCCACAAGTAGTATGATACTGAATGAGGAGAAACTAAAAGTCTTTCCTTTAATATCTGGAACAAGACAAGGATTCCCACTTTCACCATTGTTATTCAACATAGTGCTGGATATCCTACCTGGAGCAATCAGACTAAAGAAAGAAATAAAAAGAATCCAAATTGGAAAGGAAGAAGTCAAATTATCCTTTTTTTTGCAGTCCATGTTACCTTACAATTCAAAAATTACCTAAAGACATCACCAGAAAACTACTAGAGCTAATAAACAAACTCAGTAAATTTGAAGGACACAAAATCAAAATAAAGAAAACAGTGGCATTTCTATGTGGCAACATTGAACAATCTTAACAAGAAAAAATATGTAATCCCACTTATAATAGCCATGAATAGAATTAAATACCTAGGAATTAATTTACTTAAAGAAGTAGAAGATCTCTATAATGAAAACTATAAAACATTGATGAAAGAAATTGAAGAGGACATCAAAAAAATGGAGAAAATATTCCATGTTCATGGATTTGAAGGATTAATATTGCTACAATATGTATTCTACCCAAAGCAATGTAAAGATTTAATACAATCACTATCAAAATAACAATGATATTCTTCACAGATAGAAAAAAAGTTCTAAAATTTATATGGAACCACAAAAGACCCAGAATAGCCAAAGCTATCCGAACAAAAAGAACAACACTGAAAGAATCACATTACCCGATTTCAAATTATACTACAGAGCTATAGCGACCAAAACACCATGGTACTGTCATAAAAACAGACACATAGACCAACGGAACAGAATAGAAAACTCAAAAACAAATCCACACACCAACAATGAACTGATTTTTGACAAACGTGCCAAGAACATGCATTAAGGAAAAAGCAGTCTCCTCAATAAATGGTGTTGGGAAAGTGGACACCCATATGGAGAAGGAGGAAACTAGACCCTTATTTCTCACCATATACAATAATCAAATCAAAATGGATTAAAGACTTAAATCTAAAGCCTCAAACTATGAAACTACTACAAGAATAATTGGGGAAAATCTCCAGGACATTGTTCTGGGCAAAAATTTATTGAGTAATACCTCACAAACACAAGCAACTAAAGCAAAAATAGACAAATGGGATCACATTAAGTTAAAAAATTTTTGCACAGAAAAAGATACAATCAACAAAGTGAAGAGAACTCACAGAATGAGAGAAACTATTTGCAAACTACCCATCTGACAAGGGATTAATAACTTTAATAATCTGATTTTAAATGGGTAAAGGATTTGAATAGACATATAAATAAGACATATTAATGGCAAACAGGTATATGAACAGGTGGTCAATATCATTGATCATCAGACAAATGCAAATCAAAATCACAATGAGATATCATCTCACCCCAGTTAAAATGGCTTATATTCAAAAGATAAGCAATAACAAATGCTGGCCAAAAGGTGGAGAAAAGGGAACAATCATAAACTGTTGGTGGAATTTAAATTAGTACAATCACTATAGAGAACAGTCTGTAGGTTCCTCAATAAACTAAAAATAGAGCTACTATTTGATCCAGCAATCCTACTGCTGGGTATATACCCAGAATAAAGGAAAGCAGTACACTAAAGAGATATCTGCACTCCCATGTATGTTGCAGGAATGATCACAACACCCAAGATTTAGTAGCAGCAAGCTAAGTGTCCACTAACAGATGAATAGATGAAGAAAATGTGGTACTTATACACAATGGAGTACTATTCAGCCATAAAAAGAATGAGTTCGTCTCATTTGCAGAAACATGAACTGAAAGTCTTTATGTTGAGTGAAATAAGCCATGTGCAGAAAGAGAGACATCACAAGTTCTCACTTGTTTGTGGGATCTAAAAATCATAACTATTGAACTCATGGAGATAGAGTAGAATGATGGTAACAAGCGGCTAGGAAGGATACTGGGGAAATGGGTGAGAGGTGGGGATGGTTAATAGGTACAAAAAATAGAAGGAATGAATAAAATCTAGTTTTTGGTAGCACGACTGGGTGACTATGCTCAATAATAATGTAATTGTACAGTTTCAAATAACTAAAAGAGTATAATTTGAACACATTTGAACACAAAGGATCAATGCTTGAGGAGATGGATATGCCATTTTCCATCATGTGATTATTACACATTGCATACCTGTATCAAAATATCTCAGGTACCTCATAAATATATACTATGTACCTACAAAAATTAAATTTTAATAATTAAAAAAAGTTAAGACAAAACATTAGTTAATTTTACAAGAGAACTAATTGTCAGTGTTATGAAGTGAGCAAGGAGAGGTTATTAAACCTTTTTATCAGCTCCCTCATAGCTGAAAGGCAAAGTTTCTATAAAATGTCATGATATGTCATGTCAAGGTAATTCAGCCCCACTCCCAAAGGGGATATAGGATAACTCTACTTCTCTAGTCCTTTCCGTGTTGCTCTTTCACTGGTCTTAGAGCCCCACAGACCTTCTCTCTCTAAAAAAGAGCCCTCTGATGTGTTCAGAGAACTTTCGGAAACATATCTACATTTAAATACATATATTTTGGACACATTTGTGATTGAAGGTCACGAAAGAAGAGATAAAAACTCCCACCCCAATCCTGTTATAGTTCTTTGGTCCCTTCTCCTTCTCCTTCTCCTTCTCCTTCTTCTCCCTCTCCCTCTCCCTCTCCCTTCCCTCTCTTCTCCTTCTTCTCCTTCTCCTTCTCCTTCCTCCTCCTTCTCCTCCTCCTCCTCCTTCTCCTCCTCCTCTTCCTCCTCCTCCTTCTTCTTCTTCTTTTTAAATCTCAAATTGTATTTTAGGTTCAGAGAGTACATGTGCGAGTTTGTTACATGGATATTACGCTCACACCCTACATGATGGGATTATTCATATCCCAAACCTCAGTGTCACACCATTTACCCATGTTCTTCTCTTAGTACCTATATCATGAGAGTAGTAGACAGAATAAGAGAATTCTGAATATCTTGCATCTTCACAGATTGGATTTTGATGAACCACCGGTGCCAAAGAAAAGAACAAAAAGAGGCTATTCAATCTACCTTTTGCCTTTGGGCTAAATTCCAACTAAAGAATCAAAGATAGCCTAGGTCTCTTATTTATAATCACCAAGACAGAAAACTGTATAACCACTGGGCTACAATATGAGTTTATTTAGAAGCATATCTTTAATATTTATGTAAGCAAACATGTTTTGAAAGTAGACAGGATGTCTTAACATACTACTTGAAATTTACAAGATAAAATTAATTTTTAAACCCAAAATTTTAGTTAAATTTTGTTAGTGTACACTATCTCACCAAATACTGTAATAATTAGATCAATTTTTGAATAATGAATTATTGGATTCCAATTTTTTAAAATTTATATATGATTGTATTTATGAGTTCAAAAATATCTTGTCTATTTTATCTATAAATATAATACTACTCTTACACACATGAATACATTTGTATTCCTAATGATGATGTATTTGTAACCATAGTTTGAAGAAATGAACATATTAGAAAAATCATGTGTAATGAGCAAATGTTATATAAATATATACATTTTTATTTTACTGTGATAACATTAATTATTACTCATTTTTTAAATTTAATAGTATTTTGGAGGAAAGGTCTTGTTTAAATATAACAGTTTCTTTTTTTTTTTATTTTACTTTAAGTTCTAGGGTACATGTGCACAACGTGCACATAGGTATACATGTGCCATGTTGGTTTGCTGCACCCATCAACTTGTCATTTACATTAGGTATTTCTCCTAATGCTATCCCTCTCCCTGCCCCCCACCCCCCAACAGGCCCCAGTGTGTGATGTTCTCCACCCTGTGTCCAAGTGTTG
Organism: Homo sapiens; assembly: GCF_000001405.40. NCBI lineage: Eukaryota > Metazoa > Chordata > Mammalia > Primates > Hominidae > Homo > Homo sapiens. Next base: position 86,475,058 of record NC_000003.12, on the reverse strand, counting down.
TCATTGTTCAATTCCCACCTATGAGTGAGAACATGCAGTGTTTGGTTTTCTGTCCTTGTGGTAGTTTGCTTAGAATTATGGTTTCCAGCTTCATCCATGTCCCTGCAAAGAACATGAACTCATCCTTTTTTGTGGCTGCATAGTATTCCATGGTGTATAAGTGCCACATTTTCTTAATACAGTCTGTCATTGATGGACATTTGGGTTGGTTCCAAGTCTTTGCTATTGTAAATAGTGCTGCATAGCCACCACCATCCTAAGCAAAAAGAACAAAACTGGAGGCATCGTGCTACCTGACTTCAAACTATACTACAAGGCTACAGTAACCAAAAGAGTTACTGTACCAAAACAGTAACTCTTTGATACTGGTACCAAAACAGGTATATAGACCAATGGAACAGAACAGAGGCCTCAGAAATAACACCACACATCTATAACTGTTTCCTTTCTAAAGGACATTAGACTATACAACTAGAAGATCTAGGGTGTCTCTCTAATATAATTCTGTACAGATCTTAAGTTACATAATTTCAAAAGATTTTCTGTTAGCCACCATGAGACTGTAAATGTTTAATATTTGAATATTACCACAAAATGTATGATTGATAGTTCCTATCAATTAAATACTAAATTGTTTTTCTTAAAATGTGTTTAATCATATAATTGAGAGTATAACATAAGCTTTTAAGTAACAGAGCAATTGTAATACATTTTGGCACTTTTTTAATGCTTTATTAAGGTTGTTAGTCCATTTTGCACTGCTCTAAAGGAATACCTGAGACTGGAAAATTTATAAGGAAAAGATGTTTATTTGGCTCACAATTCTGCAGGTCACACAAGCATGACACTAGTATCTGGTCAGCTTTTGGTGAGGCTTCTTGTAGCTTCTACCATGGCAGATGACAAAGGGAGCACAGATGTGTCACATGGCAAGAGAGGAAGCAAGGGAAACAGGTGGAGGAGGAGCCAGGCTCTTTTAAACAATCACTTCTCTTGCAAACAAATAGAGCAAGAACTCACTCATTACCATGAGGAGGGCACCAAGCCATACATGAGAGATCTGCCCCCATGACTCAAACACCTCCCAGCCAGGCCCCATGAATACTGGGGGTCACATTTCAACATGAGATTTGGAGGGTACAGATATCCAAACTATATCCAAAGTTAATTTATGTTATTCTTAAAGGGAAAAGAAAGTAACTAGAATAGGCCGGGTGCGGTGGCTCATGCCTGTAATCCCAGCACTTTGGGAGGCCAACGCTGGTGGATCTCCTGAGGTCAGGAGTTCGAGACCAGCCAGGCCAACATGGTGAAATCTCATCTCTACTAAAAATACAAAAATCAGCTGGGTGTGTTGGCAGGCACCTGTAATCCCAGCTACTTGGGAGGCTGAGGCAGGAGAATCGCTTGAACCCAGGAGGCAGAGGTTGCAGTGAGCTGAGATCGTGCCGTTGCGCTCCAGCCTAGGTGACGAAAGCGAGACTCCATCACAAAAAAAAATAAAAATAAAAAGTAAGTAACTAGAATAAATAGTTCTAAAGTGAATTAAAATTGCAATTATGAAGATTGTGAGAACTCTGGGTTAGATCTGGTTGATTTTTACTTCATTGTATTTAAAAATCAAATACTATTATGAATTTTTAGACTAAAGTCCAGCAGGATTTAAAATAAAGACTATGTCATTTTAGCTTGAGTGCATATATATGTATATACACATATATTCATATACACATATTTATATATATTCTATCTGTACATTTTCAGAGTTTTGATAGAAATTTAGTTTTCAAAAGAGAATAAGCAAAAGTTGTGTTCTTCTTCTCTGTTTATGGAATGCTTACATTTTTCATCAACAGGGTTCTGCCAATGTATGTGCTTTTCATTGTGTAAGGGCAACGTTTAGATGCCTGGCCCTCTCTGTCAATGGAGTAAGAAGCTGGGAATAGTAAAAGACCTGCCTGCTCTTCATTAGGACAAATACCTAATGCTTGAAACCTAGGGCTTAATACTTAATGCTTAAAACCTAGGGCTTGAAACCTAGATGATGGGTTCATAGGAGCAGGAAACCAACATGGCACATGTATACCTATGTAACAAACCTGCACATTCTGCACATGCATCCCAGAACTTAAAGTAAAATAAAATTAAAAACAAAAAAGAACTGCTTGCTCTTATATATAAACCATCACTTTCTTGAAAAAATATAGATATGTCTCCTGGGATTTCTTAACTACATTCTGCTTCCAAACTTGCTTGACACCAGAATTTATGAAGTAGTGCTGAAATAACAAGTTGAAGGTTGAGCTGGAAGTGGTCCTAGTCAGGCCCTTCCTATACTTACCTGAGAGGGTGTTTAAAATTTCATCTGTTATTTAGGATATTATATCTCCATGAGAATCTATTAATATAAATACATTAACTGGATTCGATAATGCAAAAATTAAGTGTTTTGTAAAGTATAAGATCTATAAATGTAAGCTAATAATAGTGCATAAGACATACTTTGATATGGATTATTTCTATCAGGTATCCACCCAGAAAACAGAAACTTAAGTGGTAGAAAATTCAAAACAATTCTATAAGTCATCTTAAAATGTGTTAAAAGAGAAAAGCTGCTCACTTAAAGATACGAAAGCTATCTCTAATAAGAAAGTGTTACACATATCGTGAAGAAAACAATTTATAGTCTATTTTAATAAGTAGCTTGCCAATAAAAATTGTCATATATTTTTATAAGCTTTCCAATAGCATTTCAACATATTATACTTTAATTGAGGGAGTTTTGGAAATTTATAAGTATTAAATTATATTATTAGTTTCTTCTGTGTTTTAATATAAATGAAATTCCTATATGCTAAAATCCATTTTATATAGGTATAGTTTTAATAATTAAAAGCATGGAGCAGTCATATGCTTTTAGTATGTCACAGATCACTATGTAATGAAGAACAATATAATCTCTTAAATAGTCTTTTTGTGTAGAGTTCCATTGATAATACATTTCAGAACACTGTAATATGAAATGAACAAGAAAAAATGCCATCATCATCTCTTGGGTATTGTACAATGCAAATTTTATCAGTTCTTTTCTAAGGCAAAACACAAACCTCTCACCTATTAAACATGATAAATTAACATAAAAGATACACTGGAGTCCAAAGACAAAAATGGAAGAGATAGTATTACTCACTGGGAAGTACAAACACAATGGAAGAATTTGAATTATTTTTGCTCTGTTCCTGTACAATAAAAGAACCATGGCAGACATTGCAAATTCATCACACATATTCATTCTATTTGTACTTTCTTTCTGTTATAGAAAATGTATTCTTTGATATATTAAATAGATTTATTCCCTCAGAAATGATAAATTCCATATATTGAGTCCAGTTGTTTTATTAATATTTAATACAAATGTTAATGTAATTTCTTTCAGGAAAGTTTTCCAAAATAACAAAATTGGGAACAGAATATCTAAATCCCAAAAAACAAAAGGGTCAGAAACAACAATTGGAAGATAAGCAGCTCTTTACAATGAAAAGTCACGGGGAAAAAATGGTTTTATAAATGTAACTGTGGGCCCAAGGAGGGCAGGTGAGATGTCTCCCATTATGCAGAAATGCAGACCAATAAGGTGTAAAATTTCTATAAACCTAAACCTCAAATAAATTTATGCTCTAATTTAATAATCCCATCTCAAAAGTTCTCTGCAGAAGAGGCAATCATGTTTCTATTTTAAGTAGAATCCCAAACTACACATAGTGGTAAAAATTTCCAATGTGGAACACAACGTATGCTGGATAAAATTTTAAAATTCATCTTTAAAAAATGCATAGAGTAATAAGAAAATAAGAATCCCCCAAATTGAAAATAACATGCAATTCAACAGACATAAGAAAGCACTAAATTGCTCTAGAAGCATCTGCTGACCTTTGGTCTGAGGTGGTCTGGAACTTTGGTTTAACTGTCTGTGCACTATCAACAGGGCAAAGTCTAGACAGGGGATTGGATCAAAAAGATCTTTCTAAAGTTGGAACTCTGGGAAGGCTTTACCTTCAACTGAGTATGTCTCAAAAAATCCTAAAATACAGAAGGAGATGTTTGGGACACTTTCTTGAAAAAATATAAATATGTCTCCTGGGATTTCTTAACTACATTCTGCTTCCAAACTTGCTTGATACCAGAATGTATGAAGTAGTGCTGAAATAACAAGATGAACATTGAGCTGGAAGTGGTCCTAGTCAGGCCCTTGCTATACTTACCTGAGAGAAACAACAGAAACAGTCTCAAAAAAAAAAAAAAAAAAAAAAAACCCCACAAAACTTTAAGTCAAGCCTTCAAATAATCTCCAAGATTCATTTTTAAAAATAGAATATTAACAAAAAATTAAGTTGACAAGAAAATACATATCCTGAGTCAGAGTTTCTGACAGAAAAGAGATTATCAGAATGATCTAGGTACATTTGAATAAGAAGCAAATCTATAAACACAAAGGTCACCTAGAAGTAAAAAACATATTAACTAAAATTAAAATAATACAGACTGATTTTACGACTATTTAGAGAAAACTGAAAACACAATTAGTAAGCTGAAAAAAGTCAATGAAATTTATTCCAAATTGAAAACACAGATTTAAACATATGAAAAATACAGTAGGAATAGGCCGGGCGCAGTGGCTCATGCCTGTAATCCCAGCACTTTGGGAGGCCCAGGCGGGCGGATCACAAGGTCAAGAGTTCGAGACCAGCCTGGCCAACATGGTGAAACTGTCTCTACTAAAAAAATACAAAAATTAGCCGGGCGTGGTGGTGGGGGCCTATAATCCCAACTACTCAGGAGGCTGAGGCAGGAAAATCTCTTGAACCCAGGAGGTGGAGGTTGCAGTGAGCCGAGATCATGCCACTGTACTCCAGCCTGGGCAACAGAGTGAGACTCTCAATAAAATATAAAAAAAATATATAGTAGAAATAGGAATCATCTAATATGCATTTGTACAGAATACAAAAGAAGAGAGAAATAATGAGAAATAGACAATATGTGAAAGACAATGGCTATTTTCAGAACTGATGAAAACTATATGCCATAGAATCAAAGATCCCAATTTACTCTAAACGGGAACAATTAGAAAAGAAATCTACGCGTAGACATTTGTAATAATATTGCAGAAAATAAAACGCAATCACAAATTCTTAAAAGGAGCAGAATTCTGGGTGGGGGGAGAGACCATCTTAAAAGGAATCTTGAAAGGATTGCATTAGGTGGACAGATTATTTATAACAGCAACAATGTAAACTAAAAAATAGTACTATGCTAAAAAAGAATAACTGCCATCCTAGGAAGCCACACTCTACACCTAAAAATTTTAATCACTATTATGAATACTGAGATATATTCTAGTGACACTGTTGGAAAATAAAGATAAACAATCATTTCTTGGATATCCTGACAAAGAAAAGGCAGAAAATTACAATAGATTTTCATTACACTTCTAAAAGCAATAGGGAAACTTTTAAAAATGGTTTCAAAAACAGAAAGCATATCAAAGACGCTGTAGCCAGCCAAATTCTCCTTCAAGCACAATGGCTATGAACGGTTATGAAAATGCAAGAACTCAGGAATAATTGTTCCCATGAGAACTTCTTGAGAAACTCTTAGAGAATGACCTTCAGACAACAAAAAAGGATTTGAGAAGAAGCTTCAGCATGAGGTTTGTGGATAATCATTAAATATATTTAATTGTTGGATTTGGACTAAATAAGAGAGGTAAAGTGCCAGAATAGTGTGTAAACTTACATAATTGGACAAGTGCATCACTCCTCTCTGAACTATGGAAGGGAAAAAGCTACGAGAACTATAAAGTAATAACTTCTTTTTAACCCATATCAGAGCGGAGATCACAGAACAGCAATATAACCTGAAAGCCAAGGAGAGACCAACTGGAGATATATGTGGCCACCATCAAGTACATAAGAATAAAAGAACCAATACTTTAATGAATTACTAAAAGCTGAGTAAGGGTTCACATGGCAATATAGAATCCGTGGATGGGAAATTGAAGATAGTCTCCCTCTGTGGTTGCAAGTAGGAAAGGGGCAATCAGTCACCACTGCAGGAAAGATGAACCAGTAAAACTGGGAAATAATGTAAACAAAGCTGTCTTTTCCAGCATATGGTATTAACATTCACACTTCTCAAATGACCTGTGGTAAAGGGCCAGAAGTTTTTTGATAAACCATTTATGACCCTTTTTTTGTAAAATATAATAATAATACACTAATAATACACTAAGATGCTGTGACAATTCTACATTTCTATGAAAATTTTGCTATGCTTATTCTGAATTTCTTCACATACTTCCTTGCAGATGAGCAGTGTACGCTGGGTGGAACAGCCTCAGTCCACAAGTCACATTTTGAGTAGATCTGAAACTATACATTAAAAAAAAGTCCCTACCATTTATATTTTGTTTAATAGGATGTTTAGGGCTGGGCACAGTGACTCATACCTGTAATCCCAGTGCTTTCAGGGGGTGAGGTGGGAGGTTTGCTTGAGGTGAGAAGTTCAAGACCAGCCTGGGCAACGTAGAGAGACTTGGTCTCTACAAAAAAATTACCTGGGTGTGGTGGCCTATTTCCAGTACTCCTAGCTACATAGGAGGCTGTGGCAGGAGGATAGCTTGAGCCCAGGGGTTTGAGACTGCAGTAGACTATGATCCCACCACTTCACTCAAGCCTGGGTGATGGAACAACATTGACTTAAAGAAAAAAAAAAGGTGTTAAGCAAGGTATTTTGTTATAAGGGCCCTAAATACGTGCCAACTCCATTTCTTTTTACCAAAAAACGTTGAAAACAACTTAAAGTACTCATATCGTATGCTCAAAAATAGACACGTTTAGAAATAAATCCAACAAAGATATACAAGAGCTCTATTGTAAGGAATTAAAGATTATATAAACATCTTTTTGGGAAACTCAGTACTATGACAATATCTGCATTCCACAGATTGATTTGGGTATTCACTTTGATTTTAGTCAAATCACAACTGGGTATTATTTGGAAGTTGGCAAGCTAATTCTGTATTTTAAGTGCTGGAACAAAGAGCCAAGTATAAGCAAATTTTTGACATGAAAGAAATACAAGGAGTGAGATGATCTATTACAAAATTTTATTAAATAAAACATTATTGTATTTATGCTCAAGTACAAATAAATAGCCTGACTTATTTATGAAAATAGGACAGAAATTGCATTGCAAATTATGCAGGAAGAGGTGAAGTATTATAATAGTTCTGGCTTTTATTGAAGAGTCAGCTCTTAGCTTTAGTGTTGCTTTTTCATTCTTTGGTTATTTTAAACCATTTTTCCTGTTTGTTGTGGTTTTGCTTTGTTTTGTTTTCTTTTCGTTTTAGAGGGAAGGACGCTTTCAACAGAATTACTATGCTTGGCCTAGATATGCCTTGCTGTATGTTTATCCAGCTTGCCTTGATTCCATAGTGTTGTTGCTGAATATCTCCAACCAAAATTTTGAAAATACTCAGCCATAATGTCACCAAGTATTGCTTCTATTTTATTTTCTCTCTATCTCCTTCAAATACTTCAATTACAAGTATGATAAACCTATCATAGTTATCAAACCAGTCATACTTATATCTTCTATGTCTCTTGTACACTTTTTATGTATACTTTCCTTCAACCTATTCATGGTTCATTACGAGTATTTCTTCTGACCCATATTTCCATTTGCATTTTCCCCAGCTGTGATTAATGTATTAATCTCACCTTTCAGTTTTTTAATTTCTGTTATTTATAATCTTCAGCTCTAGAATTTCCATTTGGTTGCTTTTGAAAGATATGTATCAAATTTCTTAAACTCATCTCGTATTTTCTTTAATATATTACTGTAGTCTTACCTTTTAAAATCCAGATCTGATTTTTTTAAATCTAGATTCCCTCTGAGTCTGTCTCTAATATTACATTTTCTTGCTCAATAAGCATGCTTATTTTTGATTAAGTGCTAGGTATTGTAGATAAAAATAGTAGAGATGTTTTGAGCTCTGGATGAAGTGTTCTTCACAGAACATTTGTATTTTATTCTGCCAGGGGGCTAAGGCAAGAGCAATTCCAAATCAATTTAATCATTCTACATTTGTGACAATTTGAAGCTGTGTTTCTGTCTTACTAAGGGTTTGTTTATCTGAATATCTTCTACTAAGCTATAATTCTTTGGGTGACCTCTGTAATACTTGTCAGGTCCATCAGGGCTCCCAGTCCCTGGTAGATCCTAAATTCCAACTTTTGTCCCCCTAGCCTTGTAAGTCTGTTCAAACTTCCTCTAAAATTCTAAGCCTGCTAAGTAAATTAGGGCCTCAAATACTTAGATAAAAGTATTGTTTTGTTTAGTTTTTCCTCACAGATCCAGACTTTTATTACCCTGGTTGCTCTATATCTTACAACATATATTTTCTGTATATACTCTCCAGTTTTTCTATTTGTTCTTATCATGTGGATTTGTTCAAGTACCTAATTCACTGTTATGGGAAAGATAAATCTGATAACTTACCTTTGGACCTAAAAATTAGGCACTAATAACATTTATGACAGCTGAAGTCTGTTGTTTGTAACTATATTTTAAGGCGTTAAGTGTGTGTAAGCTAAGAGTTATCCATACTTTTAGTATAAGTAAGTTTATTTTTGTTACTACATGGGAACCCAAACAATATTGCTGCTAATATAAATTGATGATTCAGTTGAAAAATGGGCAAGTTCTACTAATTTTAACCATTGACATTGCTGTCCAAATCTACTGATTTGTTTCAACAGAAAAATGTATGCTCCAACATCTTCTGCTGACCTCTTCATTTTCTGAAAAACCAATTTACCTGCAGATACGAACAGAAAAGCAGGGTGTGCATACTGGTGAGAATTATGAAACAAAGATTAATGAATGGTGCTTGTCAAAGATTTGCTGAAGTCAAGTATTTTGCACAGGCTGCCTGATATAGCAGTCATGCATTCATTCAGTCTAGAGAGTTTAGGACATAAAAATGGAATCACGCCAGATGAGTGAGCTAACGAAATGTGAGTGCTTGAATGGTAGCAATGCACCCCACATACTTCAACTTAATAAAATCTGGCAATTCATCCTTCTTAGACCTCATTTTTCCCTCTGTTGGTTGAATATGGGTAACATTTCTAAAAGATAAAGGATAGGAGTTGTATGCAAACTATTTACATCCTTAATTTACTCTTAACTCTGTTGGACTTTCCAAGCATGCTAGCCATGGCCCCAACAGGCAATTTGAGGTAAATTGATCTGTGTTTAAAAGAAGATTAACCATAGATAAACTTAAAATTGTAATATAAACTGTAGTAACAATTCACAGCACCAGTATAATAGATTTCTAGTATTGTTGGAAATTAGATTTATCATTTTGAGAACACTGGAAAGCAATATTTTGTTTTCCTTGTAGTAATTTGTTCTCTATTTTACATACGTGGAGAGAACTGTATCCTAACTAACTTCTAACTTAAATACTAGAGGCTTAGTTTGGATGTCAAGTCCCTACATTCATTGATAACCAATTACTACTCAAATGTTCAGGCCCTGAGATATTTATAATATGTCCTGTGATACTGTTTCCTCTTATTAGTTGATATGGTTTGACTCTGTGTCCCCATCCAAATCTCACCTCAAATTGTAATCCCCATAATCACGACATGTCAAGGGCAGGAGCAGGTGGAGGTAATTAAATCATGGGGGTGTTTTCCCCATGCCCATGCTGTTCTTGTGATAGTGAGTTCTCAAGGGATCTGATGGTTTTACAAGCATCCGGCATTTTCCCAGCTTGCACTAACTGTGTCCTGCTGCCCTGTGAAGAAGGTGCCTGCTTCTCCTTTGCCTTCTGCCATGATTGTAAGTTTCCTGAGGCCTCCCCAGCAATGCAGAACTGCGGGTCAACTAAACCTCTTTCCTTTATAAATTACCCAGTCTCAGGCATTTTTTCATAGCAGTGTGAGAATGAACTACTACAATAGTCAAAAAGAATAGCAAGGATATAAGGCAGTAACAAAAATCTTCCTTTACAGAGAAAGACACTTATTTATCTAGAGAAGAAAACACAGTCTCAAGATAAAAATCTAGTTCTCTATGTAAAAATTATCTCTGCTTTAAGGTTGTTCTATTTCGAAATATTTACTTGCTATGTATAGAGAAACATTCCATTTCTGTTTAGATCTTTTATTTAAATCAAAGTGAACGATCATATTCTTGAATAAAATTATGTAACATCATTCTGATGATAAATTAATAGTTTGTTTCAATGTCATATTTATTAGACACTTAAATGTTTAAAGTTAAATGTAAATCAAGTTAGAAGTATTTGTGATGAGATGAGAATAATTGTCCCTGACAACATTTTCAATCACTATTTATAGACTCTCAAAATTAAATTTTTTTTATCTTATGCCATAAGTTGATGAGGCTATGACAAATCAGTGGTTAGAAAAAAAAGGAATAAAAAATAAAATTGAGAGAAAAAATCTATGAAAACAATAATGGCAGTGAGCTATTTCTAAGTTATGGCTGCTGGGGGATTAGAAAGCTGCACAAGAAATTTTGGGGCATTTTATTATATTTTATTTTATTTTTTTATTTTATTTCATTTTATTTTATTTTATTTTATTTTATTTTATTTTATTTTATTTTATTTTATTTTATTTTATTTTTGCACAATAAGAGAAACCTTTTATCTTGGACTCCAAGAAATAAATATATCCCTAATAATGATAATAAAATAATAATAATTTAATTTTCCTCCCTTTCTTAACCACTCATACACATGGCTTCAGCAAATAGAAAGTTGATCTAGAGAAGAGGTTCCCACGGCCCACCTAGTGGGTGATGAAGACATGTTTTAATAGGTGAATGAGACAAAAGAATGGTGGTCACAAATAAATCTAAGATAGTTTCTTTACTATAGAATGTCTGAAAGCATGTAATAAATACATAAATGTAGAATATGAGCCAACTTGGAAAGACTATAGTATATGGACAATATTTAATAATTTTATGACCACAGTGTGATAAGAAGACTTATAAGATGGCTCCCCAAGATTCCAGGACCCTGGTGTACACACACTTTCTTCCAGTTACTAAATGAAATACTAGTCTAGGTATTACTGTGAAGGGCTTTTGAAGTTGCATTTAAGATTCCAAATCTGTTGTTTTAAGGTTGGGGAAATAATCCAGGGACCCTGACCTAGTTAGGAGAGGCCTTTAAAACATGTTTAAAACGTGTTTTCTCCAGCTGTTTGCAAAAATGGAATTCAGGGATTTGAGGCGCAAGTAGGAAATAATGTGTCATTGTTTACATGGATAGAGGTAGCCACATGGCAAGGAAAGTGTGTGCCCTGTGGAGGCTGACAGTGGTCTCTGGCTGACAGCCAGAATGTAAATAGAGTCCTCAGTCCTTCAACAACAAGAAACTAAATTTTGGCACAAATAATAAACTTGGAAACATTTTCCCCACCTAGAGCATCCAGATGAGAACTCAGACTGGATAATGCTTTTATTCCAGTCTTATAACAATACCCTGAGCAGAGAATGAGAACGCAGTCATGCCATGGTCAACTGACTTACTGAACTATGAGCTAATACGTGGGTGCTGCTTTCAGCTGCTCTGTCAGTGGTAATGTATCACACAATAAGAAAAACTAACACACACACACACAAAAATACCTCACTTTTTAAAATTTGATGAACTTCCTAAATTCTGCCTTTCATTTTCCCCAAAGCCCAGTATAATTATTATGTATAAAAATAATATTTTGTAAAACACCTTGCAAAGACTGAAATCTGTTTTCAAATTTATTATTTACTTTTTGTCAGCTGTCTTTCCCAATCCTCTAAGGCCCTTCATTTCTGGATTTTTTCTATTTCCTTTCTTCTTGGCCAATTCCTGCCAAGCTCATTTCTTTTGGTTTATACCTTGTAAAGGTAATCAATAATCAGAAACACACAACTAACCATGGATCTTTCCAACCATATTTCCTTAGAGTTGCAACTCAGTAGGCACATGGTATGCCTTCCAATTTATTATTGAAGAAAATTTTAACCAAATGTGTTACCAAGCAGTAACAATTTGTTTCAGCCTCCCAACTTGCTATATTTGTTTCTTCTGTGCCCATCAACTAAGAGCTAACACAGAGACACATGTTAGAGATTTTGTTATAATAGTACTCTAGTAAAAGCTGGCAATTGCTTTATTAAAGGATACTAATTGCCAAGACAAGTAAACCTCGACCTTTCAGAGGCTTAACACAATAGAAGTTTAGTTTTTTGCTCATCTAATTGTTCAGTATAGGGTTACATTGATAGACTTCAGAGAGAGTGGTGATAGAGGCAAACAGGTTCTACACAATGATTCAGGAACCAACACTGCTGGCCATTATGCTATTTTCTTCAACTGGACAACAAGGTTTACCTGACTGTCAACATCTAGTTGATAGATGGGCAGAGAGCATGACAGGGTATGATGTGGTAAATAGTTTATTGGTAATATGTTTTGAATATCCTCTCCAAAACTCATGTTAAAACTTAATTCCCAATGATGGGGGATGACTTTTAAGAGGTGATTGAAGTATGAGGGCTCTGTTTGCATGAATTTATTAATTCACTCATGGATTAAGGAGATAATGAAGTAATGAGTTAATGGATTAATGGGTTACCATGGGAGAGGAACTGGTGAAGAAGAAGAGAGACCTGAGCTAGCACATTAGAATGCTGAGCCCCTTCGTCATGTGATACCCTGAACCACCTTAGGACTTTTCAGAGGGTTCTCATCTGTAAGAAGGTTCTCACCCGCTGTGGCCCCTTGACTGTGGACTTCTCAGTCTCCATAACTGTAAAACGTAAATTCCATTTCTTATAAATTACTCAGTTTCAGGTGTTCTTTTATAAGCAACAGAAAATAGACTACTACAATGAGGTGGGCTTGAAAGTGGTGTAATTTTGTATGCAGCAATCCTTCCACTTGGATTCAGTCACATGACCACACCTGGATGGTGTAGGGATGCTGGACAATGTCACCCAGCTGTGGGTTAATTAAGAAGAGAAAACAATTTGAAGGATACAAAAAATTTCTGTCTCAGTATATTTTTCCACCTGTTTAAATCTTTTTCGAGTTGTTAATTCTTTTAATTCTCTTAATTACCTTTATTTCCCTAAGAAAAATAAGTGTGTGTTATCTTAAAACATTTTTATAGAATTTACATGTAACATTGTGATTGTCTCTAAAGTAATTCCTGAAGAGTATATACATATATAAATAATTTTTACCATATTGGTGACATACAAATGTTTAAAGCCTTCTGAGCATTACATAGGTATTAATATCTTCACATTGATTTCTTCAGTTTACTGATTTGTGTCTATCACCAAATTGTATCTTACAAACTAAACCATAGATTCCAGAGTAGTTGAAGAAATATGAATGATATTCTAATCTATTTAAGGCGAATGAAGTGATATACACACATGTCACATCAAAACCTTTTAGGTAAACAGTTATTTTTAACACTTACTATTAAAATTTTTGAAGATACACTGAAGTAGAAGAAATAGTACTATGAACTAACATCTATCTGTCACCTATTTTCAACAATTATTGACTGCTATGGACTGAATGTTTGTGCCTCACCCACCACCACCAAACTCACATGTTGGAGCCTAATTTCTGCTGTGGTGGTGTTTGGAGGTAGGATCTTTGAGAGGTGATTAGGTCATAAAAGTGGTGCTCTCAGGAATAGGCCAGTGCCCTTATAAAAGAGAACTCAGAGATCTCCTTTGTCATTTCCATCATGTGAGGATATAGTAAAAAGACAGCCATCTATAAGCCAAGGAGAAGGCCCTCACCAGACACTCAATCATCAGATTGATCATAGTGGCTTGATCTTGGACTTCCCAGCCTCTAGAACGCTGAGAAATAAATGTGTGTTGCTTTTAAGCCACCCAGTCTCTGGCATTTTGATATAGCAGCTCAAATAAACTGAGACATCAACTCATGGACAATTAAAGAAGTATGCTTTAAGTGAACAGTAACATTTCATTTTTCCAAGGTATAACAATTTTGGCATAATATTTTGTTTAGTCAAGTGTGAATGTTCAATAATCATGAAAGTACTATTGTTGAATACACCTTTCAAAATTTGATGATATAATAATTAAATGTGCAAATCATGAAATAACATCCACACACATTACCTACTAATATTGTATATAAGACATAGAAATGACTAAAGACTTTTCTTTTTTGCAAATGTGTAATAGATGCCTTAAGCTGTATTATTATTCTCAATGCTGTTTGGTTTTCTTGAGAGTTCTAATAATCTTAAAAGCCAAATTTCATACATTATTATCTTTGAAAAATGCATTTGATATTTTTATAGACAATAAAAAGTTGAATCTGATGTTGTTTTAACTCTCAGGCAATGTTTTAGTTAGATAATAGTTAAATAAAATATAACAGAAATTGTTGTAAATTCAATTGAGAGGCAAAAACATTACAGTGATTCAGATAACTAACAAAGTGCACATATTCAGATGAGAGAAAACTACAAAAAGTGGCATTTAATATGGTCTTTAAAGAATTGTTAAGTATTTAATTACATGAGATGAGAAAATGTTCCAATCAGAAATATACACACATACATACATGCATATACTTCCCTATAGATGATCCCTAAACAAGATATAAGATTGGTCAGAATTTTTTTGGATAGAAAACTCTTACACTTTGACTCTCTTGTGACCAGCATTGAACTGACAATTTTTTGAGTTTCACAAATGTTTTAGAATATAGGTATCATATATTTATTAAATCTATTAATTATGCAGCATGTTCAATTTCGTCACATGACACTGAAATAGCATTAAGCATCAGCAAGATAGTACCAAGCTATGTGATGAGCCAAAAGGTACTGGCAATATAGTACAATATAGATCACACAGCTAATGACTCAGGAGGCTCTATCCTAACCTGACAAGAAGCCAGGATATGTGGTCAAATATTTGAACTTTAAAAAACACAGTTATCTTATTTTCAAATTTAAAACTGCAAATGTATACAAACATGTTTACATTGATATGCTCCTTTATTCAATAACTAATCAATTAATGTCTGTCATCTGGAAAGGGTCTCATATGGATTACAAAGAACCACTAAGTACTGTATTTCAAATTTTAAGAATAAAACTAAAGGTGATTTGCTTGATTTCATAGCACATAAAAACAGAAAAGAAAATTGCTTTTGTTTTTTATGTCACTTAATGGTAACAGTGTTCAGCAAGTCTTTTAACTGTAATCCTGTCAAAAGTACTTCAGAGATGTCTCTAAAAGTCTGTTTTTCTCTCTCTCTTCTCATTGTTACTGCTTAGTTCAAGCTCTCATATCTGTCACATGAAATATTATAAACAGTCTTCTAGCCACTTCAGTTATTACTCTTAAAATGGAAATAAGTCATCTATTTACCAGCAGTAAAACTGTTTTGGCACCCTGGGCGTATGGAATAAATGGAGCCCTTAGGCAAGCATAAACTGCAGGCTTACAATGCACAGCATAGCTCTGGTGCCTTATTTGCTATACCTCTCTCTATCCTCCCACCCCATCTCTTACAGTGTAGTCTATAAAACTTTTTGCTGTATCTTAGACATGTTATATTATTTTATAATCATAGAGCTTGGCATAGTTTGCTCCTCACTGTATAAAATCAACTCCCCCCAAATGAAGTCTGACTATCGTTGAAGACCCAGTTCAAATATAACCTCCTTGTTACAGCATTCCTCATAAGGCACAGGCAATACTGATTTTCTTTCCTCTGTGCTCTCTTAGAATTGTGTATAGATATACCCATATATATTAAGTACACACATATATTATATCTGGGTGTATGTATATTCCAAAAAAAACATATGTTATATCTGGGTGTATGTGTATTCCAACAAAAACATTTTTATAGTGTATTATAATTATTTAGTGCATAGGTTTTCTTCTACCTTACTATACTAGGCTAAATAAATTTAAGTTTCATTACCATTTATCTTTTTATTCTTAACACCTATAATAGCATATTTCCTAAAAGATAGTAACAAATGTTTGTTAAATAAATAAATACATCTGATGGAAATGATGGTGTAATAAAAATAAGGCTTTATACATAAACTATAGATTTCATGTTTGCTACTTTTTTATTAATCAAGCATAATTTTATTTTCTAGTGTTAAGCGCAGTAGCAAGAGAAAGGGTTAAGTTTTGTGAAATAAATTTGTTCATAGTCAATACATTTTCTCAACAAAGGATGGAATTTTGCCTGTTGAAATAAAATCTTTTCTCCTCTCCCATCAGTTCTGATTTATGCCCTCTTAGTATGCCAGTATAAGTTCAAAGTTTAAATATATGTTCTGTATTTTTACCCTTGAGACAACACTTTTAAAAAAAAATCTATGTTTTCCTGAGAAAATCTCCACATAAGATCAAAATAAACTCAGAAACTGGTAAAATATAAAAATCACGACTTTTTTTTTCTAGGAAGTCTTTCAGACTTCAAAAACTTATGTAATTAGAAACTTTTTATAGACTTTGCTATTTATATTATATAATACATTTGAACAACATTTCTCTGGTTGTGAAGATCATGAGAGATACTTATTTAAAATTTGTGGAACACTGTACAATTTAGTAAACTATTTCTGAACCTCATTATTATTAATATCAGTATTCTTCAGCAATGTTCTAGAAATGTAATTTAACCTCTGCCCAAGAAAAAAAAATTTTTCACTTTTTAGTCTAAAAATTTACATATGAAATATGAGTCTATACCATACGGAGTAAGGTGGTGGATAATGGAGTGAAGAAAAAAGAAAAAATATAATTTATTTTTCTTACCTTCTACTCTTTTTTTCTAAACCAAATCCTCTTAAATATGAAGATAGAAAACCAAAGTTAGGGGACAAAACAGTAAGATGAGATATTAGGAAAGAAAAAAATAAAATGAGATACATGGTGTAAAAATTTATGGAGTCTATTCTAGTGGTTGTGTAACTTCAGAATCTTTTCAGAATGAAAAAAAAATTTCTAAAACTAGAGCGCTCTTTAACTTCATTATACATAACTCAGACATTTCATTAGCTATCTTTCCTTTTTGATTCCAAAAAGTGTTTGTGGTATACATTATAGTCTGTTCAATAAATACAGAATTATAAATATTATTCACCATCTGTTCAATAAATACAGAATTATATATATTATTCAACATTGTAAATGTTTATTTGCAGTGTTATCCCCCAGATTTCTAAATTATAGTGATTTTTAAATTTTGAATACTAGCAGTGTATAGAACACAAAAGTGTACCTGTAAGACTAAACAGATTTTACCCTCTACCAATTCTTCTCTCTACAATTAAATGCCATCAAATAACTAAGCTGATGAAACTTTCTAATGGCCTTTAGTTTTGGAAACTATTAAGAAAATAATATAATAACATTAAAATAAAACTTTGAAGAAAAGGCTATTATTCAAAAATTTTAATGAAACATTTTCAGTTCTTATTCATATGTGCGCATATATTATCCTAAGTATTATCATATTGCAAACTTTTGTTGCTTAAGTTAGCATTATATTCCTGCATTTTCCATGTGGCCATACATGATGAATCATTTATTGTATGTATCATTATTTAAGTATTCTTAATTAAAATATATTTTAATTTTTAATTATTGCAGATAATGCCTCATAAATGTAGAAATCCTTTCTTGAAATAGTTTTTTAGGTTCCAAAATGAAGTTGAAGGAAAAACAACAATATACCTATGAAGATAACAGATTTCAAATATGTTTGGTTTTAAGTGATTTGTAAACAGTAATATGTATAGATCTTGATACTTTAAGTTTTTTAAAACTTACACATGGAAGTATATATTCATTTGGGAAAAGAAAGTAATCACTTTTGTGGGAAAAGAAAGCCACAAAAAACCTTTTCTGCTGTCCTGGGTGAGTTATTTAACATCTCTAAAACATCATGGTCTCCTTTGTATATGAAGATGATGATATCTACTTTTCAAGGATTTTTGTTGTTTTGAGGATTAAGTCTATATATATATATTTACAATACATATAGTAGGACATTTTATCTTATTTTATTTTATTTTATATATGTGTGTGTATATATATATATAATCCTACTATACTGCTTACTGTGTAATATAGGATCAAGACACATTAAAAAAGTAGGTACAATTGGGACTTCTGTACATATAGATCAATTGTACCCACTTTATAGATTTCACTTAACTGATGAGCAATTATTATGTGTATTCTTCCTCTTTATTCTGAAAATTTATTATTTCTTATTTATAGAATAACCCATTGACATACATTTTGGAAATAAAATAGATTGATATTTTATTTGAAATATAAGCTAGTTGGCACACTTGTTTAAGCATGCAATTTAAGAAATTCATCAAGGCAGAGAGTACTATAGTCTCATGTATAAAATAATGAGAGTACTTATTGATTCATAGTTTTTACCTTTACATTTTTGGAATAATTATACACTTGAAGGAAGCTGCAAGGATAGTAGAGAGGCCTTACATAGCTTTCACATTGTTCTCTTACATTGGTTACATCTTGCATGCCATAATACAAAATCAAAGCTGGGAAATTGATTTTGTAGTTAGATGTCATTTTATCATATACGTAGATTCATATAAGTCATAGTTAAGGTACAGAGTTATTTAATCACATCAAAGATGTCCTTTGTGCTACCTTGTTATAATCAATCCTACTCTCTTCCTGCCCTACATCCATTACTCCTACTAATATGTTCTATATCTTCATATTTTTTTCATTTTGAAAATGTTTCATAAACGGAATTATATGCTTTGCAACCTTTGAGATTGTGTTTTTTCACTCAGTGTAATATCTTTGTGATCTGTCCAAGTTTTTTCAAGTATTAATAATTAATTCTTTTTTATTGCTGAGCTGAATTCCATTGTGTACATGCAACACTATATAATTATTCACCCATTGAAGGAGATTTTGATTCCAGTTTTGAACTGTTGCAAATGAAGTTGCCATGAACACTTGTGTACATTTTTGTATAGACCTAAGCTTTCATGTCTCTGTAATAAATACCCAGAAATACTATTGCTGGTAAATGTGTGCTTTGTTTCTCCAGAGTGACTGTGTCATTTTACATCCCAACCAGCAATACATGAGAGATCCTGTTTCTGCACATCCTGGCCAGCATTTGTTTGTTTGTTTGTTTGTTTGTTTGTTTATTTTGAGACGGAGTCTCATTCTGTCACCCAGGTTGGAGTGCAGTGGTGCAATCTCGGCTCACTGCAACCTCCGCCTCTGGGATTCAAGCAATTGTCCTGCCTCAGCTTCCCGAGTAGCTGGGATTACAGGTGCCCACCACTACACCCAGCTAAGTTTTGTATTTTTAGTAGAGACGGGGTTTCACCATGTTGGCCAGGCTGGTCTCAAACTCCTGACCTCGTGATTCGCCCACCTTGGCCTCCCAAAGTGCTGGGATTACAGGCCTTAGCCACTGCGTCCAGCCCCGACATTTGTTATTGATACTACTTTTATTTTAGCTGCTCTAATAGACATAGTTATTGTTACTACTTTTATTTTAGCTGCTCTAATAGACATACGGTTGTGCAGAGGGGTTAACATAGCAAATCTGAGATTGCTAACCTTAAAGGGGCCTGCTTGCAAGGCTGGCTCTTGGTTGGCATCTTGAAACGTGGATTTTGAAAGGGTCTCCACGATTCTCTGATAAAAATGGCTTACCTGTACTTAAACTGTTTGTACAAAAATTTGGTTTATGTTGAGCATCTATGTTCATTCTGGGAGTCTGGGATTTTGATATATGTTAGTCAGTGAGTGCCTACATGACCATCCCCCAGTAAAAATCCTGAGAAATGAGTTTAATGAGCTTCCTTGATAGACAACATTTCATATTTGTTGTTACAACTTATTGTTGGAGAAAGTGTGTCCTGTGTGACTATACTGGGAGAGAAATGTTGGCAATTTCTGCCTCATTTCTACCGGAATTCTCTCTATGCAGTTTCCCTTTGCTAATTTTGCTTTGCATTATTTCACTATAATAAATGATGGCCATTGGTATGACAATATGCTAAGTCCTGTGAGTCCTCCTAGTGAATCGGCAACCTGGTGGTGCTTTTTTGGATCTCCTGACAAAGTAATAATATTTTACATTAGTCTTCATTTGCATTTTCCCACTAGCTAGTGATGTTGAACAAATGCGCTCATTTGCTATTTGTGTGTTACCTTTGGTAAAATGTCTCTTCCTGTTTCATGTATTTGTTTATTTTCTAGTTAGGCTTTAACAGTTGAATTTTGAGAGTTGCTTATATAGTCTATATATGAGTTCTTTATCAGATATTTAGTTTACAGACATTTTCTTCCAGTGTGTAATTTTTCTTTATATCCTCTTGATGGGGTATAACAGACAAAATATTTTAATTTTGATGAAATTATATTTATTGATTTTTTATTTATGGATCATGTATTTTATGTTATGTTTAAGAATACATCATCAACTTCTATGTGCCAAGGATGCTTTTGTGTGTTTTCTTCTAAATAGTCATAATTTTCACTTTTTATATTTAAATATCTAATCCATCTTATTTTTGTATAAGATATAAATAGATCAAGGTTTCTGGTTTGTGCATGTCTAATATTTCCATCTCCAATTGTTGAAAATACTATTTTTTTCCTTCACTTAATTATTTTTGGACCTTAAAAAAACCCCATTAGTTATGCTGTCACAAAGATAATTCTGGGTTCTCTATCCTGCTCTATTGATCTATGAGTTTTCTCTCCACCAATACCATGCAGCCTTGATTACTGCAGTTATATAATAAGTCTTCATATCAGGTAAAGTAATTTTTCCCATTTTCTTATCCTTTTATCAAAATTGTTTTAGGTATTCTAGTTCCACTGCCTTGAAATATAACTTTAAGAATAATCCTGCCTATATCTGTAAGATAATCTTGCTGGGATATTGAAAAGAATTGTGTTAAACATGTATAACAATTTAAGGAGAATTTTCATCTTTATTACATTTAGTCTTTCAATCCATGTACATAGCATACCTATTCCCTTTTTTATATCTTCTTTGATTTCTTATATTAGAATTTTGTAGTTTTCAGTAAAAAAAGTCTTGTGTGCGTTTTGTTTTATTTACATCTAAATATTTCTCTTTTTGAGTGTTTCTAAATAGTGTCATATATTTAATTCTTTTGTGTATGTATTCACTGCTAGTATACAGAAATTATATTTTTAACATATTTAACTTGTATACTGAAAACTTACTAGACTAGTTATAGGATTTTTTTTTTTTTTGTAGATATTTTGGCCACTTTTTTTACAAAGATCATTGTGCTATCTGTACATAGAAATCATTTTATTTCTTCCTTTCTAATTTGGCCACTTTTTATTATCTTTACTTACTGCTTTTTACTTTTCTTATTATCTTTAATATTCAGAAGTTTGATTATGTGTGTTTTGGCAGATTTCTTTAGGCTTGTATTGTCTGGGTTTTGCTCAGCTTTTTGAATCTGTGGGCTTGCATCTTTTGCAAAATTATGAGTCATTATTTCTTTGAAAACATTTTCAGCCACACTTCCTTTCTCCTCTCCTTATGGGTTGTGATCATATTAATTGCCATATATTTTTAAATTGTCCCATAAGTTTTTGAGGTTCTGTTCATTTTCATTTCAGTTCATTTTCTTTTGTGGTTAAGATTAGATGATTTCTATTGTTTTATCTTCAAGTTCATTGATTCTTTCCTCTGTCGCCTCCATTCTGTTTTAAGCCTACCCAGTGAGTTCTTTTCTTTTTCTTACTTGTTTTTTGTTACTACATTTTTAGTCACAAAATTTATATTTGGTTTTGCATATTTACTTTTTCTTTGCTCATATTTTCTATTTCATGGAAGACATGTTCTATTTCTTAAATTAGTTTTAAGCTTGCTTGTAGTTGTCTATTGAAACGTTTGTTTGATGTCTGCTTTACAATCCTTGTCAGATAATTGTCATATTTGTCATATGGTGTTGGTATCTATTGATTGCCTTTTTTCATTCAATCTAAAATTTTCCCACTTCTTTATATTAAAAGACCCAGCAATCCCATTACTGAGTATATACCCAAAGGATTATAAATCATTCTTCTGTAAAGATACATGCACACGTATGTTTATTGCACCACTATTTACAATAGCAAAGAGTTAGAACCAACCCAAATGCCCATCAATGATAGACTGAATAAAGAAATTGTGACACATATACACCATGGAATACCGTGCAGCCGTAAAAAAAGAATGTGCTCATGTCCTTTGCAGGGACATGGTTGAAGCTGGAAACCATCATCCTTAGCAAACTAACACAGGAACAGAAAACCAAACACCACATGTTCTCACTCATAAGTGGGAGTTGAACAGTAAGAAGACATGGACTCAGGGAGAGGAACATCACAGAACGGGGCCTGTCAGGGGGTGGGGGACAAGGGGAGGGAGAGTATTAGGACAAATACCTAATGCATGTGGGGCTTAAAACCTAGATGACAGGTTGATAGGTGCAGCAAACCACATGGCAGATGTACACGTATGTAACAAACCTGCATGTTCAGCGCATGTATCCCAGAACTTAAAGTAAAATAAAATAAAATAAAAAGTGATTTTCAATTGAAAAAAATGACCGTTTGTTTTATTATAAGACTCTAGATCTTATTTATTTTTCTTTATTCAGTTTAGCCAGTGTCTTCTGACATCACTTTAGAAGGGGATGTGGAGAGTTACTGTCTCATTACTGCCAAGCAGATGCATAGAAACCCAGATTTCCCTCTTGACCTCCAATGATACCCAGGATTGAAGAAAGGGCTTCTCATTACTATTGAGTAGGGATGGAATTTCCAGTTCCTGGTCTGCCTCTGCTGAAACCAACCTAGTTGGGAGGGGCAGGACTCTTGTTACCTTTCTCCACATGGCTTTCAGTGACACTGCTGGGAGAGGAAAGCTCCGCACTGTTGAGTGGTTGTGAAAGCCTTATCTCTCTGTTAGGCCTCTACTGGTGCCACCCCAGTGGAAGGGTAAGGCACCTCGTTTTCAGAGGGTAAGGCTGGAAGTGCAGGCTCCTCCTCTGGTGTGCATTCACACTACTGGTGGGAGTGGGGCAGATAAAACACCTTCTTTGTTATAACTTTAGCAGCGGTGTTGGGGTAATTCCTTACAGCCAGGTGGGATTGTTACCCTAAGTACTCCAATTGGTACTCCAAGTCTTTGCTGCTGGAGGTGGAGCTGGTATTATGCTTTTTATCTGTGTGTTTGGTTAGAATAGAGGGGTTTTCTTTTGTCTAAAATATTTGTTTTGTTAGGCACCTTTCTTTGACTGGTCACTTGGCTAATGAGAGCAAGTATTTATTTGTTTCTTTTCATCTGCAATTGGCATTTCTGGTTTGCTAGCTTCTCTATCACTAAATCTGGGAAAATTAGTAAAAAAAAAAACCAATAACTTGCCATGTTATTCCTTGGGTCTCAAGGCTCTTAATTAGTCTACCTCCTTTTCTTCACCTTTCAGAGCCTTACGTCTATTTTTTATATAATGGTCAGAGTTTTTAATTATATCTCGCTGGAGAAATATGAAAAAGTACTTCTACTATTTCTTTCCAGAAGTAGAAGTATGCACAGGGTTTCAATGAAGAATAAATGAGATAATTTTATCAAAGACCTAAAACACTGACTTTGAGGGACACTTAATAATCATTAGTATTCTACTCTGATATATGGGCAAATATTCTGAAAATTAATTAAAAGAGTGGTTACATAAAATGAGGAATTAAATTTTCTCATTGATGATGTACATTAAATTTACATATTGGTTAATACTCTTATCAATAACTTGTATAGAGTTTGTTAGAAATAGTGAAAATTTTTAGGATAAAATCTACTAAATGACAGTAATATTTCTTCTACACAGCACTTGCATAAGATTTAATTATTTTGAAATCTGGTATATGCTCCCAATTTATACTCCTTAGACATAATTACTAAAAAGGAATTGCATCAACTGATCTTACTGCCCTATTGCTTTCCCATCTCTCCTTGACATTCACATGGATTTTCTGAGGATGAAAGAACATAATAAAAGAGAGAGAAAGAGAGAGAGGGAGAAAGTGATAAGAGCATAAACGGAAAGAGGTCAAATCCTGAATTTTTTCTGCCATTTAGCAGCTTGAAACCTTCAAGAGTCTACAGTTGCAGATATACTTGCTAGTTAAGCTGTTCCACATCAAGTTTTATTTATAATGGTGTAAAATAAAGAACTAGATAGTAAAGCATGACCAATTTAACAGTCTTAATCCATTTTTCTCCTTACTGTGGAGACTTACAGATTAGTACTTCTATTATCTTTCAAAGACTTGGCACAAGCATCATTGCCTGAGAATTTGCAAATTTGCTGTTTCCTAGTTTTCTTACTGTTTTATCCTAACCCTACTGCCTACACACCACCTTCTCATTTTTATTTTTGTGTTTTTTCACTTCTATTATATTAAATGTTATGATTTCCAAAGCCTTTGCACAGAGCTCTGTGTTCTTAGAAGAAAAAGCACTATGTAAGTCTAACAAGCAAAACTAAGACTGAAATCCGATAAAGGCTAATCTCTAGAAATTATTAGACTCCACTGACAAAGAAATTAAAACTTGCTATCCCATTTCCTTATCTTTTCACTGCTGTAGAATTACTGAACTCAATATATCTGAAATGAACTGCAAACTGTCCATTCAGAAGAAAGGCAGTGGCACAGAAATGAGTGGCTTCCAAACTTGCCAAGACTTCTCATTCCTTGAAACAATGTGCATAGAGAGTTTTAGCAAGGTGTTTTTTTTTCAAGTCATCTAAATTGTTAAAGTGAATTCCAGTGCTTTTGACCCCAATATTAAAGAACTGAACATCTTATAACATAGTCAGGATATAATAAAAGGTCATCCCATTTTCACATTTGAAACTCAGGAGCATCAGGATAAAACTAATGTTTATAGATATGATAGATAAGCAAATAGTTTGAAATTTACCTAGGAGGCACTAGTACCTAATCTAGAAAGAATGTAATAAACATTTAGATCAGCTCTGCAGAGGACACATGCCATCCAAGAGCCACCAGATAACAGGAAACACAGATGCTTTGCTCTTTGATATTTTTTCTATGCTGGCTAAACATATATATATTAGAAGAATGTATGGGTTAGGCATGGTGGCTTTGCACCTGTAATCTCAACACTTTGCACTTTGGGAGGTAGAGGTGGGAAGATCACTTGAGGCTAGGAATTCAAGGCCAGCCTGGACAACATAAGGAGACCCCATCTCTACAATAAATACAAAAATTAGCTAGGCATGACAGCATACACCTGTGGTCTTAGCTACTTGGGAGGCTTGAGCAGGAGGATTGTTTGAATCCAGCAGTTGGAGGTTGCAAAGAGTTATGATCATGCCACTATATTCCAGCCTGGGCAATGGAGTGAGACTCTGGCTCTAAAATTGTGTGTGTGTGTGTGTGTGTGTGTGTGTCTAGACAGTGAAAAAAAACCTAAAAGTTTAAAGAATACAAAACTAATACACTAAATACACACCAGGTACTGTACAAGGCACTTGTACATACACCATCTCATTTAATATCCCAATTTTCACTACAAGTGAGGAAGCAATACTTTATTCTAGACTTGCAAATCACAGTTCCCAACATGCCTCTAGCTTCTTGGGAAATGCTCTGGCTACAGGCCTTAGGTGGTAATGAATTTTATTAGGTTACTTTTACTGCATTACTCTTTTTTTATATTTGATTTGCTTGGAAGTTGGCCCCTCATCCAAGATCAGTCAAAATGTATGGTGCCAGAATTAAAAATATATTTTAGGCAAAATAAATTCTTCCTTATGGGAACTTCAACCGAATGAATGGAAAGTATCAATCAATGGATAGCTGTATAAATCAAGATTCAGCCAAAAGGCAGAAACCTCACCAGTTATATGGATAGAGAGAAATTAGTGTAGAGAATTTTTACCTAGGTGACTTAAAGGCAATAAGAGCATAACAAATTTATTATTCTTAAAATGAAACTTCCACCTCTCCTATAGCTGGAGAATACAAGGAAGAATTTCAAATTATTGAGATTTAGAGGCTTTGACAAGTGGCCTCCAAAGGAAAGGGCTTTTTGAGACTGGCTGTTAAGAAAGAGGTGTTGGACAACTCGTGCTAAAGTTTTTGACCTTGGAGGAGGAAACTTAATGATCTGGTAGCCAGATCTTTAAGATGGGAGCTTGAGCCTCTGGAATTGGTGTTTTAGAATGGGACACAATCTGCCTGGTATTGCATATGCTGAAAAAAATCCTGCAAACTTCATTCACCATCTTGCTGCAAAGAGAAACTGCAGCCTCTTGGGTTAAACATTGCTAGGGCAATGCTCACAGAACCAAGAAGTAGATAGAAAGCCACCAATAAGGGAAAAGCTGCATCTTTCTACTATTGCCTTTCTCTCCTTCTCTAACACCCTGTACAGACAGAGACCAACAGGGAGTCAGCTGTCAAAATAGATATATAGTTTTAGAATCCCAGCTCCAGTATCAAAAAGCAGATCATGGGTTTGGCTCTGAGAGACAAAACCTTATTAACTGTCACACTCTCTTTTGGGCACTCAGCTTTCACACATGCTCTTCTGTACATATTTTAACTTCCATACAACAACAAAAATCTATGTTTACCCTTAATAAGATGCTACTAACTTTCATTCAAGTGAAGATGTTCTTACACTCTGCTGAAAAAATCATGTAAAATTCTAACCATCATTGTATCTGACTCTGGAAGACTGTCACATTTTCTCTCTCTGATCTATGTTAATTCACCCTCAAATTCAGTCACAGTCATGTCTATATATTCTATTCCCTGAATTATAAGTACTGTTACCTGGGAAGTAAAATTTTTACTGAATGACTAATGTGACCTTCTATAAAATTTGAATAAAATAATAAGTAGGGATGAAAGGGAAAAAATGACAAACACACAACAAATGAGGAAGAAAATATATAAATATATAAAGCATAAATTATTTCTTAAACTGGTCTTGAGGGCATAGCTGATATTTATAACTTTTCTATCTTACATGATTTATTCCACTTTTCTTTGCCCTTAAGCCATAGGCTTTAGGCCATAGTTAATATCTATAACCTCTTTTTTTTCCAGAACTCCGTCCATGCTTTCATTGCCTTCAATTGCTCAGGTCATGCTCCTTTTCTTAGTATAGTACCTTCAATCCTTCAATATTGAAAGATCTGAAGCCTGAGTGGTTACTCTTTTTTAGATTGCTGTATTTTCCTATTCACTTATATTGTAATACAGAGAAGACTATAAGATGCCTCAGATAATTCTCTGGGTTTCATACATAACCTTTCCTGTCCTCATTTTATAGTAGCAACCAACTTTCCTCTCGGTAGTCTGAATCAGTTGCCCCAGTGAGCAGAGTATCCCCCTTTATTTAACTGTTGGTTCCATAGTATAGAGTGCAAAAAAAGGCCACGTGACAGTTTTAAGTAGCAATTTAATGGAACTGCAGCTGTTTCTTAGGTGAGAACATACCTCTCTTGGAAGCAGCACTTCCACAAAAGCAGAGATAAAAATGGAGGAGATGAGAAGCAATAACTGTTATTGAGCCTGTTTTCATAATAAGAAGAGCCACTTCGACTTCTGCTACTTGATTCTCTTATGCAGATCTGCTACTTGATTCTCTTATGCAGAAGGCTTCCTGTCAATTTTACTTCCAGGAACACCGTGATTAATTGGCCAATGCCAGAGCTCTACATGAGTCAGACAGTTCTGATTGCTGTTTTGCCTTTGATGTCCATTACGGTAGCTATGTCCACCTTGCCTTTGACAGTTGAGTGCCGCCACTGGCCCTTGCCACCTCAAGATGCAATTACTCCCATTGTATTTAAATTTTATAGTTGAGTGACTGCGCTTCTCGCTGTTAGATCTGACATACAGAGAAGAGAAATTACAGGGCTCTTAAAAAATGCAGGTGCTGGCCTCACCAATCTATTACACAAAGCACTGGGCAAGGATATATCTTCTGGACCTTCCCAGCCGGGATGAGCAAGTCTAAAGTGACTAATCCACTCTGCCATCCCAGTCTCCCTAAGTCTTTGGATCCCTTCCTCTACATTAAACCAAGAGAGATCAGGCATTTTCAGCTTGCTCACAGTGGGCTATCTTTTAATCCATATTTCAGCTAACCAGGCAAATA
This sequence comes from Homo sapiens, assembly GCF_000001405.40. Lineage (NCBI taxonomy): Eukaryota > Metazoa > Chordata > Mammalia > Primates > Hominidae > Homo > Homo sapiens. The sequence goes on along the minus strand of NC_000003.12, from coordinate 86,446,689 downwards.
AACTATTACAACCATTTTTAACTCCCCAAGCTGCAACATTAAATGCAGAATTCCTGCTCAATTGCCCAAAATCAATAAATTCAGCCTGATACAACTCTATATTCTTTCCACCATTATCCCACACCCCTAACATCCACCTGTTTTCCAGATTTCTGCTTATATAAATTTATATATATATATTTTATTATACTTTAAGAACCTTCAAACTCAAAGTCAATAATATATATATATATATATATATATATATATATATATAAGCTCAAGTAGTTATTTTCCAGTGTAGTGCACCTCCTCATGGGTCACACTCTGAACCTCACCTCTAGGGGCCTGCTGGGGCCTTAGCCGAGTTATAGGTCTAGAAGCAAACAGAGGTGTTGGGGGTGGGTCCTGAGGAGAACCAACATTGCTTTGCCTGGCAACTGCCTCAGGTGAGGCCATGACTGTTTCTTCAGGCAGCACAGGGTTTTTCTCCTTAGACAAAAGTGGAAAGGCTTTAGGCAGCATCGATCAGGAAGGGGATGTTGCCACTACTGGGAATGGGGAAGCTGCTTCTTCTGGCAAAAAAGGTACATCTGAGTTTACAAATGCATTGTCCCCAGCTTCATCAGGGTCCTCCCACAAGTCCCCATTCTAAGTTGCAGGGTCCCATTCTTTTCCAACCAGTGTCCTCATTTTAACAGTAGACACCTGGTGAGGCTGTGCATGAACCTTTCATTGTAGGTCAGCCGCTTGCATGATAAGAGCTTGTGTTTGATTTTCCACAATTTCAGCTCTTTCTCTGTAGGAGACAAGACTCTCACTCACGGCAATCTTAGAAGATTTGAGGCTCAGTATCTGCTTCTGAAGCTGGGAGTTAGAATCCTTGAGTTCATCCTTTTGTTTCATCACTTTGTCCAGTGAACTTAGAAAAAACCAACCAACTTCATTATGTTCCTTGGTCACTAAACTCATGCCTCTCATGAGCAGTGAATCAGGAGTGTCAAATACATTTATTTTGCATAGTTCTGTAAACAGTTTATGCCAAGGACTGTCAGTGTTCTCCATACTATTAGAAGTAGAGTCCTTAGAATTTTGGAGTCTAATCATATTAAGCAACCAACTCCAGAATCCTCAAAACCAATGGAAGAATTCCATCCTCAATATTCTGTTCCTCTAGAACCACTTCTGGTACCAAAAATTAGTCAGGGTTCTGGTTCTGTAGAGAAAGAGAACTAATAGTATATATATACTATTATATATATATATATATATATATATATATACTATTATATATATATACTATTATATATATATATATATACTATTATATATATATATATATATAAGGCGGAGTTAATTAAGGAGTATTAACTCACACTATCACAAAGTGCCACAATAGGCTGTCTGCTAGCTAAGGAGTCAGGAAGCCAGTCTGAGTCCCAAAGCTGAAGAACTTGGAGTCCAATGTTTGAGAGCAGGAAGCATCCAGCACGGGAGAAAGATGTAGGCTGGGAGGATAAGTCAGTCTAGTCTTTTCACGTTTTTCTGCCTGCTTTATATTCTGGCCATGCTGGCCGCTGATTAGGTGCTGCCCATCCAGATTAAGGATGAGTCTTCCTTTCCAAGCCCACTGATTTAAATGTTACTCTCCTTTGGCAACACCCTCAAGGACACACCCAGGACCAATACTTTGCATCCTTCAATCCAATCAAGTTGACATTCAGTATTAACCGTCACAGACCGTGTCTCAAAATAAAAAAAAAAAAAAGAAAGAAAGAGCAAGTGAGCAAGCAAAGATTTTTGCAGAAGAGGGCAAGGGTTTCTCAAAAACGGTATATGACATCACTATGATTCTTCTACTGTTCCTTGGTAAAGGCTTCATATTACTCTCTACTTGTCACAGACACTTTGAACATGATTGGCTGTTCTTGTTCACCAGCAAAGTAGAAGAGTAGCTGGACTTCAGCCTAGAATTACTGCTGAGCCATCTTTTGCTCTGATTCTCACTAAAAACTAGTAGAATTACAGGTTATTTCATACAGTTTGAAGTAGCACACTTAAGTAGGGCATATGATGCTCCCAAATGCAAAAAGGCCCTTCAAGCATTGTGTCTCTTCTGTGATAGTAGTAGTGCAAAGTATGGCAACTTGTCTTTCTGTCCAAAGAGAATATTATGATATGCTCCATACCTTTGTATTCTCTGAAACTTCCTGGTGTTAGCAGGCCCTTAAATATTCTTGGGGTTTGCATACCATCTTCTGATTCATAAATGTCTTACTAAGGAATCTAAAGTACCTGCCACTTCTTCATTAAGTCTAATAAGCCATAATGTTACTGGAAGAATGTGAGGGCATATGAAATATTAAAACTGTTAAGATCCCTGCAGACTATATTATTGCAGTATGCAGGAAAGTAGATATAGTCCTGAGGCAAAATTTTTTGTTGATCCTATCAGGTAAAAGCAACAGCTTTCGACAGACTTTTCCAATTGATATGTAACCTGAACATGAATTACTCAGGTTAATAGTTACAAATACTCAGGGATGTGTCACTTTACTCCAAAAAATATACTATTCCTGGAACAGCAGAGGCAACTTGAGTCCCTACTTCACAGTAATTTTTATTCTCCAAAAAAAGGAAAAAAAAATGAAAGAAAAAATTTTATTCTCCAAGATTTACCCACTTTCTGCACAGGCAGAAGAGGCAAGTTAAATAGTGCTGTCATAGGAATGTTCACACATCTTTCAAGATTGTGATAGTCACCCTAAGATTTACAATACCCTAGGAATGTGTTACTGCTGCTGGTACAATCTTGGAAGAGAAGAAATGTGTAGGGGCTTCCACTTCACCTTTTCTACCATAATGGCTCTGCACCATCGCTTGGAGGGCAAATGTGGGGATGTAGTTAGTTGCTGTTCATGGCTATTTCTACTACATATTCAGGAATGGAGAGATAACCATAAGACAAGACTTCAAAGATATTGGGCTCAGTGTGATGGAAACTTAAGTCAAAGCCATATTTAACACCTGAATCAAATAAAATACTCCCTTGGCTGGCAGACCATTAACAATTATGGCATTTCATATTGTCATGATTTGCCATCAATTCAGAGATAGTGTCTTGTAATTTTGCAAGGCTTAGATATTTGCTTTTCTACAATGTGCAGTTACTCTAGTAAATTGCTGCAATTCCCTTTGGAATATGCTTGTATGAAAGAGGTACTTAGAGTATGTACTTGTGCCAATGTTGCAGGGTCTTTCCTCAAAGGAATCCTAATTCTCCTTCAATCTGCATTCTTTGGGTCTATGAATTGGCTTAGTCCTAGAAACTGGGTAAGCAGCAATAATACCTTATTGTGTTTCTTGTCCACTACACCTGTATTTATTTTTAATAACCTGACTATATATAGATAAGTAAATATTTAATAATCAGACTATATACTCATTCTTAGAGACACCGTGATCAATTGACTAACTACCAACAAAAATTCATATGGATCAAAACTTTCTAATTACCACGCTGTCCCTAATACACTTTTTAGTTAAAAAAAGAAGAAAAAAATGATTAAATACTGCTACCGCTTCCACCTAACTTCTGTTTTTCTGGAATCCAGTAATCTCCACTAAAATCAGAAAACTCATTTCCATTGTGTAACATTTACCATGATATCTGTCCTACAAAGGACAGCTAACACAAACTTGCTAAAGATACTGATGTTCAATTTACTAATTTATTTTTTGATATCTTTATAAATGGAGAGTTATCTGGGTCCTACAAGGGCACATATTGGGAGGGTAGGTGTATATATTACATAGGAAATGTCCATTACGATATTCTTTACCCTTTAATTCTTTGGATGTCTTTCTTTAAATTATGCCAGGAAAGTTCTGGCATCTCAACATGATTAAATGAAGAACACAACTGAGTGCAATCCTCAATCAACCAGCCAAGGAAACTATTACAGTCACTTTCAGGTGCCCAAATTATCCTATTAATCTGTGCATCACATCAGTAAAACTGACTTAGTGTTTTATTCCATTTTTCTTCATCTACCATCCTTAGACTATATCTTCACACATATTTCCCATGTTTCCTCTGATAGAAATGAACAAAATCTTAAAAATCTTTTGGTATATCAGCTGTTTTCTCCTGGGGCAGTTTTTGTACTCGCCTGTCTGAAGCATGCTGTAATATGTCCCTATTTATGAGCCTAGTGACAACAAGCTATTTTAGGGGTTATTCTTTTTTAAAATGGCATTTCTTTGCAATAAAACTGCTACAAATAATGCTACTATAGATTTTTCAAGCAAGGAAAGGCTTCTAATACTATTGAAGAGAAGTTGCTTCTATTGGCAAGAAAAAGTGACTAACTTGAAAGTTCAAAGTACTTGGATTCATCTGGGTTCAAATAGATTTCTCCATTCTAAGTTTTAGATGCTCAGTCTTTCACAGTCATGATCATAACATTCATGTGAAAGAATTGAAAGGCAAGGAATTCACCTCACATTGCAATTCTGGAATGGAAACAAACTTTTTGTTTAGTTTTAACTATATTTTTCCTGATTATTTTATGGCAATCATTGAGGCTCTATGTGTTTCCTGAGGGTGACTTACCCTCAGAAATTAAAGATGTATTTCATTTAGTTTCTGTAAGCACTTAAGTGTACTCAGAGAATCTACATCACAGAAATTGAAGTTATCATTACTGTCAAATTGAAAATGCAGCAGCTATTTGGTCTGATGAGGCATTTGCTTCAGTAAGCATTTCAAGATCTGATCTCATATCATGATGGTAATGTTTGTCAGGAAATACTAGCATTTTATTACTTATTGTCAAAAGAATCTGGCACTGCATTGAAGACCAAAAATCTAACCAATACAATTCTCAAATAATATCTGATTATTTCTTTGCTGCAACAAATTTCTTATCAGTCAAGAGACAGAAACCACACCAGCCATATGAATGAGAAAGGCATAATATAAGGATTTGATAAAGTAGGTGTAAAATTGTTCATTAGCTAACTAAAAAAAAATAAAGAATAGTTAAGTTCTCACAAAGGTTACAATTATAGAAAGTAACTACTACTTCTAGGAAGACAAGAACAAAAGAAAGACATTGTCGTGACTAAATGTAGAAGGCTTGAAGAGAGGTCTCATGGAGCTGGTACCCCTTCTGTAAGGAGGTAATGCCAGCCACTAGGATGCTCTTGTCTTCGAGTGAGAGCAATTAATCTGGTTGTTCAAGTGCTGGAAAATCTGCATGTTGAGTTCAGTTGCTGTAACAGAAAGAACACTGCTGGCCTCCTCAACCAGCTTGTTAGGATGAAACTCACAGGAATAGGAAGCAGGCAGAAAGAAAACAGAAAGCCAAATGGAAGCAGCAAGAAAATAAAGAGTTTTAAAGATTTTAAGCCTAAGTAACACAAACCGTAATTAAAGATGGTTAATTGGAGCTGAGAGACAGTAAGTTGAAAAGTGGCATAGTAACAGAAAAGAAAACTAAAATTGGAACAACCAAATCAATGGTAGAGTACTACAGAGAAGATAGTGAACTTTCTCTATAATTGATATTTTTTCTGGGTCACTTGTACATATTTTGCTAATTTCATAGGCATATATATCCTTAGAATAACCTCTGTACCCATACTTAAGGACATTTGAGGAAGTCTAAGTCTTCTTAACTAAATAAAATATACCTAAACAATTCTTCAATTTAAAGATGACTAAACAACAAAAACTAAGTGAACTACTCACAGGTAATTTGGTAAAAATAAACGTTTAATAAAAGTCTACATATTTAATGCTAGAAATGGCACATCCTCTTATTATTTTTAAAATTTTGTCAACTACTATAAATACATTCTGTTTGGTAGTCTTGGCACTTTTGGCAAAATAATTTAGCAGTGGTCATAGTCTATTTTCTGATTAAATTATTCATACATATAACAGTGTCAACTTTCAATTTTATGTTTAACATATGGAATGGAGATTTTGAGACCAAAGCCTCATGACTAATTCAAAATAATTGTACTGGATTATTCCTTTTGGGAATTTGCATGTCCAATCCACTTAGAATTACATTTTGCCTGAGGCAGGTATAACCCTCACTAGAAATTAATTGACTTTAGCTACAAAACTTTTACTTGAGAATTTGGTTTCTATAAGTGTGTCTGCCAATGACTGATTATCTCAGGGTTTGTTGGCAACTGAGCTTTCCAAATCACAAGGCAAGGAACCAAATCCCTGAAGAAGAAGTGATCAACCTGAGGCAGAATGTTTTTCTCAACAACCTATCACTATTCCTGACAAGCAACCATAACTTCATTCTATTTGCAACAAAGTATTAATGAGGTAATAAAGTAGAATTTTGGATGCTTTCATTTTTAATATTTAACTTTGTTTTGTTTTCTATGGTGAAATAATTATAGACTCCATATATATCCTTATGCATTTAAACTTTTAAAAGCTAGAATGCATTTAATTGCCTGGTGGCACTGCATAATACATTTGATGTTAACATTGCTAAATAAATGTTTCTAGATAAAATTATGAAATAATAGTAGAGTATCTTGTCACTATTCATAATGCTTTATGCCAATATGTCACTCTATTTTATCCCAACGTGCAACTCACTCATCATTTTTATTTTTGGTTTTTGTTTTGTTTTTTGAGATGGAGTTTTGCTCTTGTCACCCAGGCTGGAGTGCAATGATATGGTCTTGGCTCACTGCAACCTCTCCCTTCTATGTTCAAGCGATTCTCCTGCCTCAGCCTCCTGAGTGGCTGGGATTTCAGGCACCCGCCACCATGCCCAGCTAATTTTTGTATTTTTAGCAGAGACAGGGTTTTGCCATGTTGGCCAGTCTGGTCTCAAACTCCTGACCTCAGGTGATCTACCCACCTCGGCCTCCCAAAGTGCTGGGATTACAGACTTGAGCCACCGCACTTGGCCCTCACTCATCATCTTTATAATAAAATTTGTATCTAAGCGTGCATTTACTTTACTCACCTGTGACACATTCATGTTCCATTTAAATTGTACCACAAAACTTTTCCATAAGTTACTGCATCATTTACTCTACTAACAGTCAGAGGGGTCAAATGCTCTTTTAAAATAAGTTTATATGAGAATGTAGTTATTTCTTCACAATTCCTTATTTTTTGGACTACCTACTTAAAAATACCATTCCATACAACTGTAAATATTATATGTGTGTGTATAAAGTTATAAGCAATGTAACTACATCACAGCACCAAAAAAAACACTTTAAAAATAGTCATAAACATCATACTCTATATAGAATATAATAAAAAATTCAATAGTATTATACTAAACAATATAGGAAATAATATTCTTAATGCTTAATGTAAGCCTAAGGCTACTATATGTTTTACATAGATACAGATAATTTTAGCTTCCATTAACTAATTTTAGTAATTACTTTTATTTTTTCAATAAAATAAAATCTAATAATCTTAAATTTGTCATTGTAACCCATGTGCATTTACAGTGATAATTCTATATCTGAGTTTTTCAGATAGAAAATAATTATATCCTTCTAGATTATTCCTTACCTTACTATTCTGGAGAAATTAATGTTTCTGTAAGAACAACAGGCTAAATCATAGAGCAGCCAGAATTTTAATAAAGAGAACCATGAAAAGAGAAAGCTAAGAGCCCTCCTGGGGTTGGAACAAATCTCAAAGTCTGGCCTCAAAGACTACTACTGCAAAGGGATCAGAATTTAATTGGATCAGACTTTGGATCAGTTTATTCCCTGAGCATCATGGAAAAGAATAGAGCATTTAAGCTAGCAGTTAGTAGAGGCTAACAGCTGGATGCAAAGCAAATGGATGCAGCTACTTAAGAAAGATCATGGAAAAGATAGTCAAAGAAAACCACGCTAAAATCATTGTCATCCCAGAATTATTGTGAATATGGCCAAAGCTGTGCCTTATGAAAAGTGACGTCAGAGACTACATACTATAGGGAAAATAAACTTTACTAAAATAGTCCAGCCAAGCAATTAAACAAGTAAATAAGCAAACAATAGTAACAAAAAATCCCGAAGAGGAAGGATGTGTCAGTATCCAGATTTACCATAATATATTGTGTAAAATATTCAGCTTTCAACTCAGTAACAAAAAATATGAGACAAACAAAGAAATAGGAAAGTGTGACCCATACAGAGAGAGTAGTGAGGAAGTGGAAACCGGGTGATAGAAACTGCTTTTGAGAGGGGCTGAATGGCAAATTAGAAGAGAAAGACTTTACCCGGGCCTGGGGGCTCACGCCTGTAATCCCAGCACTTTGGGAGGCTGAGGCAGGTGGATCACCTGAGATCAGGAGTTCGAGACCAGCCTGGCCAACATGGTGAAACCCCATCTCTACTAAATATACAAACAATTAGCCTGGCATGGTGCCATGTGTCTGTAATCCCAGCTACTCGGGAGGGAGGCTGAGGCAGAAGAATTGCTTGAACCTGGAAGGCAGAGGTGAGCAGAGATAGTGTCACTGCTCTCCAGCCTGGGCAAGTGAGACTCCATGAAAAAAGAAAAAAAAAAAAAAACAGACAAAGACTTCAAAGCAGCTATTATAAATGTGTTCAGAAAACTAAAATAAATCATACTGAAAGAAACAGAGTTAGATAATAAGGAGTCATCAAATAGAGAACATCAATAAAAAGATAAAAATTATTAAAAAGAATAAAATGGAAAGACTGGTGTTGAAAAATGCAATAACTATAGTTAAAAAAATCACTAAAAGATCTCAACTGTAAACATGAACTGGTAGAAAAAAAAGTTTATCTTGAAGATTGATATAGATTATGCAGCATAAGGAACAGAGAGAAAAGAAAAATGAACAACGTATTAAACGTCTTTGGGATGCCAGAAAAAGTAGTAACATATTTGCAATGAGAGTACAATAAGAGAAAGAAGAGAAAAAAGATAAATAAGTAGAAAAAAAACTGAAGAAATAATGTCCGAAATATCCTAGTCTTTTTATTGAATGGTGCTTTTACAATTTGATGTCCATACGGAAAGACATAAAATTCAGCCCATTGCTTACATCATACAAAATATTAACTCCAAGTAGATAATAAGCCAAAACGTAAAGTCTGAAACTATAAAGATTTTAGAAGAAAATATGTGTCAGCTGTTGTTACTTTGAGTTAGGGAAAGTTTCTTAGATGCAGCACCATAAACACAAACCAACCAAGACAAAATATTTCGGACTTTAGCAAAATTAAAATCCATATGATTCAAAGGATACCAACAAGAACGTGAAAATACAACCCATAGAATGGGAGAAATCTTTTTAGATTGTATAGCTGGAAAGTGACTTGTTTCCAGAATATATGAAGAACTATTACCACTCACTAATAAAAAAGACAAGTAATGCAATTTAAAAATGAGCAAAGAATCTGAATAGTTATTTCTCAAAAGTAGACATGTGAATGATTTATAAACATATAAAAAGATGTTCCCTAACATTATTCATTAGAAAAATATAATCGATACTAAAATAAAATACCACTTCACACCCACTGGGATAGCTCTAATAAAAATGACAGACAATACCAAGTGTTCTCAATGATGTATATAAATTAGAATCCTTATGCATTGCTGGTTGGAATGAAAGCTACCGTAGCTACTTTGGAAAAAAAGTTTAGCAGTCTGTATTAGTCAGTTTTCACGCTGCTGATAAAGACCTACCAGAGACTGGGTAATTTATAAAGAAAAAGACATTTAATGGACTTGAAGTTCCACCTGACTGGGGAGCCCTCACAATCATGGCAGAAGGTGAAAGGCATGTCTTACATGGTAGCAGACAAGAGAGAGAATGAGAGAATAGTTAAAGGCGAAATCCTTTATAAAATCAACAGGTCTTGTGAGACTTATTCACTACCATGAGAACAGTATAGGAAAAGCCACCCCATAATTCAAATATTTCCCACTGGGTCCCTCCCACAACATGTGGGAATTTTGGGAGCTACAATTCAAGGTGACATCTGGGTTGTGACACAGCCAAACCATACCATAGTCCATCAAAATAGAAAGAATGGAGCTAACTTATTACTCAGTAATTCCGCTGCCAGGTACATGCCCAAGAGAAATGAAAATATACATCCACAAAAAGTGTCTACACAAATGTTCATAGCAGCATTATTCATAATAGCCAAATCATAAAACAATACAAGTATCCATAAACTAGTGAATGCAAAAGCAAAATGTGGTACATCCATACAATATAATATTATTTGGCAATAAAAAGGAATGAAGTTCGGGTGCACTCTACAACATGACTGAATCTTAAAAATTTGAAAATGAAAAAAGCCAGACATAAAAACAACCATATTGTATGATTTCATTTGTAGGAAACTTTCAGAATAGAACATTCTTCAGAGGTTGAAATTAGATTAGTGGTTGCTTATGGCTGGAGAATTTGTAGAAAATGGGAAAAATTGCTAATGTATAGTTTCTTTTCTTAGTAACAGTAACCCAATTCTATGCACTTACTAAAAACCATTAAATTGTATAGATTAAATAGAAAAAATGTATGTGAGCTATATCTCAATTAAACTGTTTAGAAATTTCATCTGCCCTTCTAATTATAGAATGATAAAAATATCATTTCAACTCTCCAAATAACATAAATAAACAAATTTTCTAGAGTATAGTATCAATGTATCAAAAATAGTTGGTATTCTATCTGTTTGGTTTTAGACATTATGTTTCTTCAATAGCCGAATTATCTTTCTGCATGAAACTAGAAAAAAAGATTCTTTCATGATTCTTTCTAGTTATTAGATTTATTTGCTGGGCTCTTTAATATATTTATACCATGTTAAGAAGATTTTGATACTTTGGTTCTGTTACCCTGAGTCTCCAGCATTTTGAAATATGTTAGAATTAAGTTTTAAATTTTCAGAGAGAGAGAGAGAGAGTTTCAAAACTTATATTATCATTTTGGCAATATAATAAATATTAATTCAGAAACAGAAATGAAAATTAGAAATGTTTTAAATCTGTGAAGTTTCAAACTATATTAACTCATATTGAATGTCTTTCAAAAGTAAGACAGTTATATATTAAGGTATTACATTACATTTGATTTTAGAGAAGCATGCTTGCAATTCTGAATATCTTCTAAATCTAATATTTTAATTCTTTAAAATAATCTAGAAGGCAAAAATGATGTTGATAATGATTGCTTGAAAGTTTAGAAATTATTAAGAAAATTTGTTTTGTGAGAAAAAGAAAAAAGTGCTTCTGACTCTTCCATTAAAGCTTGAAAATATTATATTTAGTTATTTTACAAACATCCAAGTAGTTCACATGGGAAATGCCAGATGATAAGATATTTCTGAAGTATTACTTTTTTTCCTAATTAAAAGAGAAATTACTTAATAAACTAGTTTACAGGTGATTATAAAGCATCAGTAAAGACAATTATCTTCTCCCATTGAATATTAAGTTTAAAATTAAAGTTCATTTTAAGTTCAAAGCCATTAAAGGAGATACATAGTAAAAATAATTTTATTCTGTAAAAAAGGCAATAATCAGAAATAGAACTCCATAAATCAATTGCCTAACCAAAATTAATTCTTTTGAATCATTTTAATTCCCTTAAAGGAAGATTAGAATAAGATTTAAATAAAACTAATATACTATATTTTCTACACTCATCAAAATAACTATCTAATAACAGTGACAGTTTGTAGACTTGAATGTAAATTCATATTAAATTTTAAAAAGAGGGGGTCTTTCAAATCTGTTTAATTAATCAAACTTTAGTGAACAATTAATAAGTCCATTGTTAAAAGTAATGTATCCTGAAAATTTAAAAGGAGGTTTAGTGTATAAAATTTATATGAATCAGCCAAACAGAAACTACTTTACAAATGTCCTTCTAAAGTCAAAATTGTTTAAGGTCTAAATTTATGAAAAATTATTCATAACTGAGTAACTGAAAAAAAAATCAAATTTAAAATGCATAAACAAAATGTGTTATTTATGTATACCCAAAATGTAAAATGTATGTGTTAAAATGAATTAAAATAACATCTGTCAAGATTTAAAAATACAGGAAAATAGAGGTGAAATTTAACTCTCAAGTGTGGTACATTGGAATAAGATACGTTTTGTATGTTATACATCCACATTCTAAGCAATCTTTTTGTAAAAAAATTAAATGTATCTTTTCTCAATGAAGAGTATTATTTAAATTATGTAATGTTAGTATTGCATGTCAATAATAGTTTCAATTATTGACATCTTTGTCTATACTGCAGTATTTATGCAATTGTATTTATACATTCTTTTAGATGACTATTCTATGATATTAATAACATTGATGTTAGTGATAATAAATATAGGTCTGAAAATATTGATCCAGAGTGGATTACAAGTAACCTGCTGGAAACAAAGCTGGAAATTTAGTATTATCATTCAGTACTAAGATTTCCATTACTGTGATGGTATTATTTTTTTAAAGAAAATGTATAAAACCAGCAGTTGAGTTGAAGATAAGTATCACATTCCCCTTTCTTTGTATATCTTTCTTTGCTATTATAACGTCTGTTTCAATGGAAAAAACACTACTCAAAAAATTAAAATGTGCTATTTTTCATTGTTGTGTATATACTATCCCTTTTAGAGCAATATATGTTGTTTTAAGTAAGGGTGGAACTGTCCATTAAATAAAATAGATTCTGAAATCTAATTCCAGAATCCAATATATTATGCTACATTTTGAAAAGGTAAACAAACCTTTACTTTTTTAGTTATACATATTTACATCTATCTATCTATCTATATCTATCTATCTATCTGTCTGTCTATCTATCTATCTATCTATCTATCTATCTATCTATCTATCTATCTATCTATTTTTTGAGACAGGGTCTCACTCTGTCATCCAGGCTGGAGTACAGTGGCACAGTCATAGCTTATTGCAGCCTCAATATCCCAGGCTCAAGCGATTCTCCAACCTCATCCTCCTGAGTAGCTGGGACTATAGGTCTGCGCCACCACAACCAGCTAATATTGTTGATGTTTCAGTAAAGACAATGTCTGGCTATGCCACCCAAGCTGGTCTTGAACTCCTGAACTCAAACAATGTATTTTCTTAAATTCTAAGGAAAATACTAAATGCTGACATACATATTTTTTTACTGAATGTATAAAATCTATAGCTTTCATAAAAATCTCCAAGAGACCAAAAAAGGTAAAAACATTTTTCTCTATATGCAGTTAACATTTATTGAGTGTGTATGGTAAATTAAGTGCAATAATAGTATTTGTATGCTCCATTTCATTTAATGTTGCTGTGGTCTGAATGTGTTGCTCAAAATTCTGTGCTGAAATCCTTAATCCCCAAGGTGGTAGTATAGGAGGTGGGGCCTTTGGAAGAAGATTAGATCATGAAAAAGGCACCCTCATTATTGGGATTAGTGCCTTTATAAGAGACTCCAAAGAGCTGCCTTGCCTGTTACCCCCTCTGTCATGTGAGGATGCAGTTAAAAGGTGCCATTTATGAACCAAGAAATGGTCCTCACCAGACATCAATTCTGCTGGTACTTGATCATATATTTCCCAGCCTCTACAACTAAAAGAAATAAATTTCTATTGTTTATAAGTCATCCGATACTATAGTATTTTGTTATAGCATCCTGAACAGGTTGAGACAAATATTGACAGATTTTTTTTTCTTTTTCAACTTTTATTTTCACTTCAGGGGGTACATATGGAGGTTTGTCACATGAGTAAATTGTGTGTCTCTGAAGTTTGGTGTACAAATGATTCTGTCATCCAGGTAATAAGCACAGTGCCCAACAGGTAGTTTTTCCACCCTCTAGTAGTTTCCAGTGTCTATTGTTCCCATCTTTATGTCTCTGTGTACTCAGTGTTTAGCTCCCACTTATAGAGAGAACATGTAGTTTTCTGTTTCTGCATTCATTGTCTCAGGATAATGGCCTCCAGCTCCATCATGTTGCTTCAAATGACACAATTTCATTCTTTTTTTATGTTGTAGCATTCCATGGTGTATATATACCACATCTTCTTTATCCAGTCCACCATTGATGGGCATCCAGGTTTCTTCTGTATCTTTGTTATTGTGAATACTACTGTGATAAACATACAAGTACATGTGTCTTTATGGTATAACGATTTATTTTCCTTTGGGTAGCTATGCAATAATGGGATTGCTGGGTCAAAAGGCAGTTCTAAGTTCTTTGAGAAATGTCCAACTGCTCTCTACGTGGCTGAAATATTTACATTCCCACCAACAGTGTCTAAACATTCCCTTTTCTCTACAACCTCACCACCATCTGTTATATTTTGCTTTTTAATAATTGCCATTCTGACTGGTGTGAAATGGTATCTCATTATGTTTTTGACTTACATCAAACAATTAATAATATTGAACATTTTTCATACATTTGTTGGCCACATATATGTTTTACTTTGAGAAGTCTCTCTTCATGTCATTTGCCCATTTCTTAATGGGGTTATTTGGTTTTTGCTTGTTGAGTTGTTTAAGTTTCTTATAGATTCTGGATATTAGACCATTGTCAGATGCATAGTTTGTGAATATTTTTCCCCATTCTGTAAGTTGTTTGATTACTGTGTTAACAATTTCTTTTGCTGTGCAGAAGCTCTTTGGTTTAAATTTACTTATCAATTTTTGTTTTTGTTGAAATTCTTTTGGGGACTTAGTCATAAATGCTTTGTCAAGGCTGTTGTCTAGAATGGTATTTCCTAGGTGTTCTTCTAGGATATTTATAGTTTTAGGTTCTACATTTAACTTTTTAATCCTTGGTGAAGATTCTTAGAGGACAAATGCTTTGTGAATCCTTATTTTCTGATCCTTAGCTTTTTAAAATTTTTATTATTTTAATTTTAAATTTTATTTTAGAGACAGTATGTTACTACATTTCTCAGGCTGGACTCAAACTCCTGGCTCAAGATATGTCACCCTGGCTGGACTCCTGGCCCAAGTGACGCTCCTGTCTCAGCCACCTGTTTCACGGGAACAGGAGCACACTATCATGCCTGGCTTGATCCTATACCCTTTGTCAAGTATTTGATTGGTGTTTAAATAAATATATCTTTAATAAAGTACAAAAGTATGTGGTGGCTGTTTATATATCATAGAGTGTTTGTACATGGTTCTAAAACTATCTCCAAGAAGCAGAGAAATGGCATCATCAATGCCAAATCTTGTTGTCAAGAAAAATTCTCTACCATCAATCATCATTTTAGAAATCATATTATAACCTATTATAATCTTTTTAGAGAAATGGAATCAGTACATTAAAAAGTGACTAAAATATCAATATGACATCGATTCTTCATTAAGTTTTCTTTACACTTTTTCTCTATTAATTTTTCTACAAAAATATTCATATATTTTAAGTGTTGTAGGTTGATTAGTTTTAACAAATGTGTACACCTGGGCAGTCGATACTCATACCAAGATAAAGAACATTTTCTTGTCCAACTTTTCTCAGCAGCATATACCTCTAATTCCTATTATAGAGTGATATTGATGTCTAGAAATTCACATAAATGAAAACATACCATACATACTAAATAAATGTTAATTGCATGTAGAGCAAATTATTTTTACCTTTTTTGGTCTCTTGGAGATATGTTTGAAAGGTATAGATATTCAGTAAAAAATGTATAGAGGCATTTATTATTTTCCTTATAATTTAAGAAAATACATGTTCTCCTGAAATTGTTTTACAAAGTCTAAGGCCAGTGCGTAGACATCCTTATTATATGGGAGACATAGAACAATAAATGTGTGTATATAAATATTCTAAGCAAAAGAATGTGTTGGGTCCTTTTAAGGAAGCAGCTGATTAAGATAAATACCTTCAGAAAAAGAAAATTGCTGCTAAGTTGCATTGGATAGTCAAAATCATAATCAACTTACTTATTGTCAAACTTGATGTGATTGGCATAGAAAGTATTTTGTTTCACTTAAAACATGGGCTGAGTGTGGTGGCTCATGCCTATAATTCCAGCACTTTGGGAGGCCAAGGAAGGAGGATTGTTTGAGTTCGGGAGTTCAAGGCCAACCTAGGTGGCATAGCAAGACATCGTCTCTACTGAAACATCAAAAATATTAGTTGGTTGTGGTGGTGCAGACCTATAGTCCCAGCTACTCAGGAGGCTGAGGTTGGAGGATTGCTTGAGCCTGGGATATTGAGGCTGCAATAAGCTATGATTGTGCCACTGTACTCCAGCCTGGGTGACAGAGTGAGACCCTGTCTCAAAAAATAGACAAATAGAAAGATATGTGTATATATGTGTACTCGTTGTAGGCAGATCAGAGCACAAAACGTTTGCTGTCCATGAAACTTTGAATCTCAACTCTACTCACTGCAATTAAATTTCCCTTTATATAGTTATTTTCTACAACCCAGTAATTTCCTTTCTCTCTTTCTCTCCCTTTTTCAATAAGTGTTTGTTAAGTATTTAATATATACTAGGCACTGTAGAAAAAACAAGTATACGAAAATGCATTGCATTCTGTCCCTGACCTAGAGTTGCCTATAGGCTAAAGGAAGAGAAGCTCATGTAAGTAGAGAAGTTGTAAAGATATAAATACTTTTTCAGTCAGGGTTCTCTAGACAGACAGAACTAATAGGAAAATACATATATAAAGGGGGAGTTTATTAAATATTAACTCACAGTGTCACACGGTCTCACAATATGCTGTCTGCAAGCTGAGGAGCAAGGAGACCCAGTCCAAGTCCCAAAGCTAAATAACTTGGAATATGATGTTCAGGGGTAGGAAGCATCCAGCATGGGAGAAAGATGTAGGCTGGGAGGCTAAGCCAATGTCGCCTTTTCATGTTTTTCTGCCTGCTTTATATTATTTGCTGGCAACGAATTAGATGGTGCCCAACCAGATTAAAGGTGGATGTGCCTTCCCCAGCCTACTGACTCAAAGGTTAATCTCCTTTGGCAGCACCCTCATAGACACACCCAGGATCAATACTTTGCATCCTTCAATCCAATCAAGTTGACACTCACTATTAACCATCACACATGCTATAGCAAAGTCTGGAACAAATTTCCAAGGAAGCAGAGAAGAAACAGGTTAAGTGATAGTCAAAAAACAGAATTAGAGATACATTGTTGCCATTTATCATTATTTGTTGCATTTGTTGCACTTGTTTCTAGGTAGACATACTCTACACTTTTAACGTGTGTATGTGTGTGTGTGTGTGTGTGTGTGTGTGTGTGTGTGTGTGTGTGTGTTTGTGTATGTAGACATATCTTGCCATCTTACCCAGGCTGGTTTGAAACTCCTGGACTCAAGAAACTCTCCTGACTCAGCCTCCCGAAGTGCTGAGATTGCAGGCATGAGCCACTGCACCCAGCCTAATTTTTATTTCCATGTTTTTACACTTTTATATGAATATCTTCTATATTTTATCACCATTGGGATCCTATTCCAGAAACTTTGTTAATTATTCTCTCTCTACTTATTTGCGAATTTTTCCTTTTATCATTAAATTATAACACATGTATATTAATTGCTAAGAATTTTTCCTTTCTACATAAAATTATTTTCAGCATTGAATTAGAATTCTTTTGTACAATATACACAAAGACATTAATCTACCTCCAATTAAAACATTGAATAGCGATATTACAAATATAAAAGTCACCTGAAGTAAAATATAATTTATGTAAGATGAGGCTTTAAACAGACCAAATGTCTCAAATAGGATTTTTTAGATTAACACATTTGGATGCATCTCTCTAAATATGCATGAAAAAATTATGACTTCAGCTTCTCTGTTGCAATAACATTGGATACAAGAAAAGATAAATTCAGGTATTTAGTAGTCCAGAACAAAGGTGGATAATAATCTTTTTGCATTTGAATTCTCCTGCTATATGCAGCTATAAATTATTCTATGCACACACACATACACTCACAAATGTGAAAAAAATTAAAAACCTAAATAGAATAAATCACACCGAACTTGTTTCTTCTTATGCATGTTTTCTATGTGAAGGCATTCTTCTGATATTTGGACTACTTATTCGTGTTAGCTGTTTCTTACTTTGCCCATTTCAAAGTAAGGATTAAAAATTCTTAACTATGTCACATACATCATGAGGATTGATGATTCCAAGAAGCTTTCAGGATGAAATTTCTCTCAAGTATAAAGCATCATTAATAATAAAAAAAGGAAATTAAACATTAGCATAAATATCCTTGCATATGATGACAAATTGTGTCCTGATGAACATAATTGGCATTTCACATTCCTGACCATAAGGCAGACTTTTCAGTGGAGCATAATACTATGCAGGTGCACAAATGATACACAGAATGAAACATACACATCCCATACCTAAACATAAGTGCATAAAACACAAATACAAGTCTCACATGTTCTTCACAAGTTTACCACTAAGATAATTTCATCTCATTAATGAATTATAATTAATGTAATAATGCTTCCAGATTTTTATAATAAAAAAAGTTAAAGTGATTATAAGTATTACACATGCACTTTTTGAAATAACTAATATTTTAATGTCTTTCAAAATTTTTTGAGGGTTAATCTACAGTAAATAACTATTCTGTAAAACCATGAAGTATCATATTCTGATATTATAAGATATTAGTTAGAATGTTTAATTTAAAATTCAATATCCTCAGAAAAATATGCAATACTAGTTTTGCTGATAAGAGAATTAGCTATATTTTTCAAATCAGGCCCACTTCCATGATCACCTAAGATGAGAGTTTTTAATTATTGCCAGCATATAAGCTAACATGCAAAACCACGTGCAGGTATTTTATGAGAAGCAAAATTAATTTTGATATGTTTAAATAAGATGGTATTTCATTCGAAACATGTATTTCAAAACAATTCTCTGTGATGCTTTTGATTCAGACGTTCAGAGATGATAACACTGATGAGAATGTGGATAGTAAAATATCAGAACTGGCAGCACACAACTCCAATTTAGAAAAGAAATTAGATTTCCTTGCAAAATAGATTAGGAGGGGAAGTGGAGACAAAGTGCAGTAGAACACAAAGACAATTCAAGCAACATTTTGAGACTGGTGAGATGGAGTTGCATTTCTGCTTAACGAAGTGGATGATTTAGTGGATGACTCCTCAGGTTTTAAATGGGAGCGGAGAGGAGACAAATGTAAAAGAGCTACTGGGCAACCAGCTTTGAGATGTAAAGTATTTATGCTCAGTATTGCACACTACCCTTGCATTTCTCTATTTTTATAGCTCTAAAATATTTCATTGCTCTAAAAATGAAGACTATTTCAATTTTAAAAATGTATACAGACATGTAATTAACAGCTATTCCCGTGCTAAGAATAAAGACAACATAACATTGATAAGTTAAAGTGACTCTAGTGGAGGCAAAGTGTAACTCATTCTCACATTTGTAATCATGTGTTCAATATTCACTGAATTCCTGTTAGTTGCTAAGCCTTTTTCTAGGCTGTGGGGATAATCTTTTTGAGTCTGGCATCTAGAGGAGGGTTGACAATAGAAAAAAAAAGAAGAGCCAAAAAGTTACATGTAAGAGGCTGCTGGTGTTAAAGAGAGAATAAAACAGGGAAGGGGCTAGGCGGTTCCCAGGTTGAAAATGAGAATTGAAATGTAACTAGATGTTCAGGGAAGCACTCACTGAGAAAGTGATGTGAATGAAGAAAGCATGAAGGAGATGAGGGTGCAAGACTCACAGGTGTCTGGATAAATTGTTTCCAGCTAGAGTTTGCCAGTAGAAATCTCTGGAAGTCATAGTGTCTCAACTACTCTAAGAACAGTAAGAAGTACTTTGGATGATAGTGAATGAGAGAGGGAGCAGTAGGAGGTTTTAACTGACAATCATAATTGTACACAGATAGACAGGGCATATCTTCATTCTTAATTTGATCTTTTGTTTAAAACAATTTCAGTAGAACACTCTCTGTATATATGAAACTGGAATACAGGGCTATAGCAGAAATCTCTAATCTCCCTGAATCCATTAAACCTTTGACTCATAGTAGTTAAATAAGTTGGTGTGCACTGTCACCCAAAATATAATTATATTTATATTATTTATATTATCTCTCTATATATATTTAATTATTATATAATTTATAATTATAAAGTCCCCTTTACAGATATGTGAGTAATTTCTGGCCAATAATATATAAGTGGTAATGTCCTATCACTGTTCCTGTGATCCATTATAAAGAAAGAAAGAGCTGGCATATATGATTTGTCTATTTATTTCCCTGTTCCTTTATTCTATTAAGTAACATCAACATTTCATAATTGCCTCCAAGTGGAAACGTATAGCTGTATCTTTCAGAACACTTAAAAAGTGCAATGACAATACTGTGGTTAACAGTGTGTGCTGCCATGGTACATGTTTACCTATGCAACAAACCTGCACATCCTGCACACATACCCTGGAATTTAAAAGAAAAGAAAAAGATAATACTTCCACAGAAAAAAAATAGTGTGTGCTGTAATTCAGAATGCCATTTTTAAATCCCAGTTTTGCAACTAGATATGGCTTGGTTGTGTCCCCACTCAAATCTCATCTTGAATTCACACATGTTGTGGGAGGGACCCAGTGGGAGGTAAATGAATCATGGGGGCAGATCTTTCCCATGCTGTTCTCATGATACTGAGTAAGTCTCACGAGATCTGATGTTTATTATAAAGGGGAGTTTTCCTGCACAAGCTGTCTTTGCTTGCTGCCATCCACATAAGATGTGACTTGCTCCTCCTTGCTTTCCACCATGATTGTGAGGCTTCCCCAACCACGTGGAACTGTAAGTCCAATTAAACCTCTTTCTATTGTAAATTGCCCAGTCTTGGGTATGTCTTTATCAGTAGCATGAAAACAGACAAATATGGTGAATTGGTACCAGTAGAGTGGGGCGCTGCTGAAAAGATACCCAAAAATGTGAAAGCAACTTTGGAAGAGGTAACAGGCAGAGATTGGAACACTTTGGAGGGCTAGGAAGAAGAAAGGAAAATATGGGAAAGGTTGGAACTTCCTAGAGACTTGTTGCATGGCTTTGACCAAATCCTGATAGTGATACGGACAATAAACACCAGGCTGAGGTGGTCTCAGATGGAGATGAGGAACTCACTGGGAACTGGCGCAAAGGTAAGTCTTGTTATGTTTTAACAAAAAGACTGGTGGCATTTTGCCCCTGCCCTAGAGATTTGTGAAACTTTGAACTTCAGAGAGATGATTTGAGCTATCTGGCAGAAGAAATTTGTAGCAGCAAAGCATTCAAGAGGTGACTTGGGTGCTGTTAAAGGCATTCAGTTTTATAGGAAAAGCAGAGAATAGAAGTACAGAAAATGTGCAGCCTGACAATGTGATAGAAAAGAAAAATCCATTTCCTGAGGAGAAATTTGAGCTGGCTGCAGAAATTTGCATAAATAACCAGGAGTCACATGTTAATCCTTAAGACACTGAGGAAAACGTCTCCAGAGCATGTCAGAGGTATTCACAGCAGCCCCTCTCATCACAGGCCCAGAGACCTAGGAGGAAATAGTTTCATGAGCCAGGCCCAGGGTCCTTGTGCTGTGTGCAATCTAGGGACTTGGTTCCCAGCCACTCCAGCCATGACTAAAAGGGGCCAAGGTACAGCTTGACCTGTTACTTCAAAGGGTGGGAGCCCCAAACCTTGGCAGCATCCATGCGGTGTTGAGCCTGTGGGTGCACAGAAGTCAAGAATTGGGGTGTGGGAACCTCCAACTAGATTTCAGAAGTTGTATGGAAAAGCCTGGATGCCCAGGCAAAAAGTTTGCTGCAGGGGCGAGACCCTCATGGAGAACCTCTGCTAGGGCAGTGCAGAAGAAAAATGTGGGGTCAGAACCCTCACACAGTGTCCCTACTGTGGCATCACCTAGTGGAGTTGTAAGAAGAGGGCCACCATTCTCCAGATCCCAGAATGGTAGATCCACCAACAGCTTGCACTGTGCACCTGGAAAAGCCACAGACATTCAATGCCAGCCCATAAAAGCAGCCAAGAGGGGGGCTATACCCTGCAAAGCCATGGGGTGGAGCTGCCCAACACCATTGGAACCCCCCTCTTGCATCAGTGTCACTTGGATGTAGGACATGAAGTCAAAGGAGACCATTTTAGAGCTTTAAGATTTGACTGCCCTGCTGGATTTTGGACTTGCATGGGGCCTGTAGCCCCTTTGTTTTGGCCAATGTCTCCCATTTGGAATGGCTGTGTTTATCGAATACCTATACCCTCATTGAATCTAGGAAGCAATTGACTTGCTTTTGATTTTACGGGTCCATAGGCAGAAGGGACTTGCCTTGTCTCAAACGAGATTTTGGACTGTGGACTTTTGAGTTAATGCTGAAATGAGTTAAGACTTTGGGGCACTGTTGGGAGGCATGATTGCTTTTGAAATGTGAGGACATGAGATTTGAGAGGGACTGGGGCTTAATGATATGCTTTGGCTCTGTCCCCACCCAAATCTCCTCTTGAATTCACACATGCATGTTGTTGGGGGGACCTGGTAGGAGGTAATTGAATAATGGGGGCAGATCTTTCCCATGCCGTTCTCATGATAGTGAGTAAGTTGCATGAGATCTGATGGTTATTATAAGGGGGAGTTTTCCTGCACAAACTCTCTTTGCTTGCTGCCATCCATGTTAAGATGTGACTTGCTCCTCCTTGCCTTCCACCATGATTGTGAGGCTTCCCCAGCCATGTGGAATTGTAAGTCCAATTAAATCTCCTTCTTTTGTAAATTAACCAGTCTTGGGTAAATCTTTATCAGCACCATGAAAACGGACTAATCCACAACTGGTTTGGCTGTGTGATCTTTGACAAGCTATTTCATTTATCTGTGCTTAACTTTTATCATCTATAAAATGGGATTGTTCTGAGAATTAAGTGACTTATTCATATAAGATATATGGATGTCTGACCGTAGTATGCTCACAATGTCATTTTAGCTACTTTTATCATCTGCTTTATTAGCAAATAAATTCATTCATTTTAATATAATGAGTCCCAAATATGAACAATTTGAGAAACACAGAGACTTCATGTCACACTTTCCTTTCTAAGAGGTGGGGAAGAGAAAGGTTTACCTAAAATACTCTTTTCATTTGCTTCCAAATCCAGATTACCCAGATGTAACCAAGTTCTCAAACAAACAAACAAAAAACCCTGTTTGATCTTATTACCCCGCACCACAGTAGTGCCAAGCACAAAACTGTTGCTCAATAAGTATTCATTGAGTAAATACGTGAAATTATACAGAAGTCAGAATTCTTAAGATCTCAAGGGCTTAAAGTCTTCAACTCCAGTCTTTGTTTTCAGACCATTAAATAAAGTCTTCTCCAAAGTCAAACCTAGTAAAATTTAGATTGAATGACTTCCAGGAAGTGTTATTTAATAGTAGAGGTAGGCTGTTCCTGAAATTAACCTGTAAAATGAATAAATAAGTGCAAAGAGAAAATAAGTTATGTTATTATATCTTGATTCAAAGATTATTACTTCTAGTATCCTATGGTAAGGCTACTATTCAAACACAGACATTTACTTGGAAAAACATAAGCAAAAATCTTTCATTTTAATGCCACTGGATTGTGTCAATTAATGTGCCTAGACAATGTTGCTGTCAAGGTATGGCCAACCTGGTGGAACAGAACTTAGAAGTCTCAATTTTCATCTGTGTTTTTAAGTGATGTTAGAGAAGGAAAGTTTTGGTGCATAGGAGAATATGATGGCTGTTTATAAACTGGTCTTTTAGAAGAAGTCTTTAATCTCTGGAGGAAAAAATTAAATTAACTTTTTTTTTAATACAAAGAACTGAGAAATGCTGCATCTGGGTGAAAAGGTGTTTTGTGGTTTCTTTCATTTGTTTTTATCTTTGTACAGTGGAATTATGGCCATTTTTTTCTCCTTTAATGAAGTTTCCTGTAGCTTCCAAATTTTCTATATGGGTATTAGTTTTTAAAAATAGTAATCAGAAACAAACAATACTAGCTTCCAAATTTTCTATATGGGTATAAGTTTTTAAAAATAGTAATCAGAAAGAAACAAATACTAAATGAGAAAGTGAGTGAGCAGAAGCCTAACATTTTCACTATATAGGTAATAATCTCTGAAACAGACATGGAAGAAATAATATATTTTAAAATAATTTAAGAATAAGAAATGATTGATAGGGAAAAGAAATAGATTGAGTGAGTTAGTAAAATACTGGGCTGGTATTGTAAATATTACAGAAGGACTAAACACCTAGAAGGTAGATGGAATAGAGTCAAGAATTAATGATGAAGGAAAATCTTCCTGGCAGAAACAAAAAAATAAAGATGATACACTTGAGCCTGTGAAATAGGATATGGAGTTTGAAAATGCGGAGTTATTAATGATGGAGCTTCAAATTACAAATCAAAGGATACTGAAAGGATCAAAAGTACCAGGTATATACAAGCAGTTTGTCCTTGGGCCAATTACCTAGTATCGGTTGCTGCATCTTTAAACAAGGATTCTGTTTACCTCTAACAATGTTTATGATAATTTAATTTGGTAATATATATGAAAATGCTCATCAAATTTCTCTTGAATCTGGTGATGTAGGAAAGGAAGAAACATAATAAAAATCAGTTTCCACCTTTCCTAAAGAAAGACATTTCAGAATTATTTAGTTAGCACTAGAAACTAAAAGCACAAAAAATAAGAGAGTCCAAAAGCTGCTTGATTTTTTTTTTCATACATAGGTATGTTATGTATTGATGTGGAAAGAAAGTGCTGGGAAGGGAAGAGTGTGGTCCGGTTAAACGATACTGAAGGGAGTAGTGGAAGCGCTGGGGAGAGGAGGGCATGGTCCCTGGCTAGGGCTCCACCTCCACGGACCTAGGTGAGGACAGGCATTTTTGTTTTCCTGCCCAAATGTTGCATTTTCCAAGACCACCCTGACCTGCCACGCCCCCATCCTGTGCCTATAATAACCCTTAGACCCTAGCAGGTAGATACACAGGTTGCCGGACGTGGAGAGTAGCACACCAGCGGAGGAATACAGGGGTGGCTGGATGTCAACAGGCTCGGCTGGATGTCAACAGGCTCGGCTGGATGTCAACAGGGACGTACCAACAGGCACTAGCATAGCAGCAGGCCACCGACAGGCAGAAGCAGAACGACAGAGTTTGGCTGGGGCAGTCGGAGGAGAGCCCAGGTCGCTAAGTGGCTGACTCCAGGGGAAGACCTTCCCGCTCCATCCCCTTTCCGGGCTTCTCCCATCTGCTGAGAGCTGTCTCCCCTCAATAAAACCTTGCACTCATTCTCCAAGCCCAGGTGTGATCTGATTCTTCCGGTACACCAAGGCAAGAACGCGGGATACAGAAAGCACTCTGTCCTTGTGACAAGGTGGAGGGTCTAATTGAACTGGTTAACGCAAGCCACCTATAGACCGCAAAGCTAAAAGAGCACACGGTAGCACACGCCCACTGGGGCTTCAGGAGCTGTAAACATCCACACTAGGCACTGCCCTGGGGTTGGAGCCCCACACCCTGCATGTCTGTGTGCTCCCCTAGAGGTTTGAGCAGCGGGGCACGGAAGAAGCAAGCCACTCCCCCGTCACAGGCCCTGGGACGGGGACAAGGGAACTTTTCCCATTTCAGTATGATTATCTTCTAATTTTTTTTTTTTTTTTTTTTTTTTTTGAGACAGAGTTTAGCTCTTGTTGCCCAGGCTGTAGTGCAGTGGCGCAATCTCGGCTGACTGCAACCTCCGCTTCCTGGAATCGAGCGATTCTCCTGCCTCAGCCTTCCGAGTAGCTGGGATTACAGGCGTGTGCCACCAAGCCTGGCTAATTTTTTGTATTTTTAGTAGAGATGGGGTTTCACCATGTTGACCAGGCTGGTCAGCAACTCCTGACCACAGGTGATCCACCCGCCTCGGCCTCCCAAAGTGCTGGGATTACAGGCATGACCCATCGCACCCGCCTAATTAATAACTTCTAATAAACTATACAATGACATGAATGCAATGATTAACAATAAAAACATATTTACACTGAGGTACACAACATTACAAAAGCAGCTATTATAACACTAAACATAAGCCTGCAAATCCCCTTTAGCGAATACGGAAACAAACTAAAACTGAAGAGTATATAACATGTCCTCTGAGAGTTAAACTAGAAAATCAACAGATCGTGGATCCTAACTGAGATAGCCAACATCACCTAAAGGAGATAGGATAAAAATGAACACAAAGAAATGCCATTCCCAGGTGAAAAGTAGGGCACCTCCGAGCACCATCTGGGAAGACGGTATGCTTTCAGACGAAGTCAAGTGTTCAATCTTTGTGGCAATCTGTCTGTCAGCAGAGATGTGAATATCAGAGTCTGGGACCAGGAAACCTTTAAATTATTACGATGGGTGGTCTTCCTCTGATTTCCAGCTCAGACAGCAACATTCTGTCAATTGGCTTTCCATGAAGTTTCCCTAAATGGAGTGGATATGCTGGTCTGCAAGCCACAGCTATTTTTTCTTCCCTTGGCACTTATATTTCTCATTTAAACTAAGAAATTAGCATTCTGCTTTTTAAGATCAGTCTCTTGCCATCTTTTTCTATTTTGGCATTCATCATTTTAATAAATTGTGACACAAAGACAAGGTCAGGTTTTAAATCCAGAAGATGGAGGGCTGAGCCCTTGATCATGCCAGACCAAATTCCCCAAGTTTCTCCCTGTCTACTTTTGTTTTGAAAAGAGATCCACTGTAAAAAAAAAGAACTCTCAATTATTGTTTTTTTAACATTAATCTTTTATTGCCTGCATGTTTTTACAACCAAAAGACCAACAATATTTGTTCCAAGTTGATTTTCACAACAAATACAAGAAAAAAAAGATTGTTTTAGTGAAGTGATTAAAATAGGTCAGCTATATCATACTGTAATTGTAACAGATATCTTAAATCAAAAAACATTAGCATAAGTTTCATATTTAGAAAATTTGCTGATATGATTTATTGCAGAACAGGACGATCATTGAGAGAAGATCAGTCAGAAGATAATTAAGAGTAATAAGGACCTGATCATTAGCAGAGAGGGGAAAAATGATTGTATTAGGAGCTCTTAGTATGTGTTCAATATTGCAAGTACAAAAGCTGACTGGCAGCTTAAGCAGAACATGAGATTATTAAAAGAATATTAAGTAGTTCAAAGAACTACAGAGAAAGCTAGATAACTGTTCACAGGTTCCCAGCTGGGGTTCTGGTAACAATGCTACAAACCTGGCTACCAAATTAACTTGATAAGAAAATGTAGCCAAACACAAGTCCAGCTGCTCGCCATCTGAGAAGCTGAATACATAAGAAACTAGGTGTGGTGGAAGGAAAGCAGCTTATTAATCAAAGGCTGGCAGTTGAGGAATGGCCAGGCTCATGCTTCTACAAAACCATTTCAAATTTTTGGGCTGAGTGATGGTGTTTAAAAGGGAAACTTGATGTGAGAAACATACATGAGTGTTTCAGGGTGCAGAGACTGTGTGTCTTCTTCCAATGGCTAACTTGAGTAATTACACATCTGGAGGTCTGGTTGGCATCATCTTGACCTTAGCATAGTGGTGGTCACCTAATTGTTTCTGACTCCCCTTAAGCGAGAGGATTCCACACCTGAGCCTCCGTGCCTGGTTTATTTCAAAATTAGCCCTTGGAATTTCTAAGGATGCACATAGTCAGATAAGCATGCATGGCACAAGGGAGTGTCTGGTAGGAAAGGAAGAGAAACACAGTTTTAAAGTACATTTCAAGGCTACATTCTGAGTTGAGAGGAAACAAAGTTTTAAATTGCATTTTAAAGCTAGGCTACTTGATTACAAAACACACCTCTCCCACTATATCCACCAAGCGGTAGGTGGTATACAGCAAGCATTCTTGCCAGATTCAAGTGTAATGCCGCCACTACCTGTTTGCCAGTATATTGACCTTAATTTTGTTTTGTTTTGTTGGTTTGTTGTTGTTATTAGGATCTTGACCTTCCAATTATTACCAAGCACTTCTGCTATCACTCATAACCAATACAAAGAATTCTATATGGGCCTCCTAACTCAGTTTGCTTAGTTTTTAATCAGACCCTCAAGTCTATTTATTTGTTATAGACAAGGTCCTGAATACAAAGAAGGTGAGGAAAGCTGAATATTTTTACTTCTACCTGATAAAGACAGCAAACAAAGGAGGGAAATTTCCCCCCAAATGTAACCAATGTGTTAAATATAGTAGATATTCCAGAAATGAATGATAAATTATACTATCAAGAAGCATTTCAGAATTCAAATTGTTATATTGATTGGAAGTGGTTGGTAAGATGTAGCAAAGGAGGTGGGGGGAAGGAGATGGAGAATAAAAGATCAAAGATGACTTAAAGGTTTTATATTTTGAAGTGTTTGTTAAAATTTAAGCTGTATTGTACACTTTGCGAACTATTTAGCAAATAAAAATTTAAACAGTACACTGTTATATTAGTAACTTGAATTAACATCTTTTAAAATTAATTAATTAACCATAAATATTCATTGGGCATATAAAAAGCACTTCCTGTGGGGAAAAAAAATGTACAGGAGATTTTAGCCTTAAGAAGTAGGCCAGTTGTGATGTCTCAGGTCTGTAATCTCAGCACTTTTGAAGGCTGAAGCCGGGGGAATGTTTGAGGTCAGGAGTTCAAGACCAGCTTGGGCAACAGAGCAAGACCCCGTCTGTACAAAAAATTAAAAAAATTTGCTAGGCATAGTGATGCACACCTGTAATCTAGTGACTTGGGAGGCTGAGGGAGGCGGTTAGCTTGAGCCCAGGAGTACAATGTTGCAGTAAGCTATGATCAGAATATTGCACTCTAGCCTAGGTGACAGAATGAAACCCAGACTCAAAAAAATAAAATGTTTCGATTTTGAGGAATCTCCTCCATAGTGGTTTTACTAATTTACATTCCCACAACAGTGTACAAGGGTTCCCTTTTTCACATCCTCACCAGCATTTGTTATTGCCATGTCTTTTGGATATAAGCCATTTTAACTGGGATGAGATGATATCTCATAGTTTTGATTTTCATTTCTCTGATGATCGGTGATGTTGAGCACTTTTTCATATGCCTGTTTGGCATTTGTTTAAAAATGTAATTGGATTGTTTGTAACTCAAAGGATAAATGCTTGAAGGGATGGATACCCCATTCTCCATGATGTGCTTATTTCACATTGCACACCTGTATCAAAACATCTCATGTACCCCATAAACATATACACCTACTATTACCCACAAAAAAATTAAACAATGAAATAAAATAAATACATAAATAAAAATTTTAAAAATGAGAAACAAAAAGTTTAAAAATTATAAAATAGAAGACAACAGGCATTTGAAAGCTATTAGTTTAGACTATGTGACCAGGAAGCATATGTGCTATTGACTTAGCTTGGCAGGCTAGCAGTAGCTTAAATCAAGGTGAAGATTCCTCAGTGGTGCTCTCTTTACCTGAGTTGTGGAAGCATGCATGGGGTAAGTGTTTGTCTGTGTGCGCCAAGTGCGTGCGTTTTCATTTCCAATGTTCAATGTACTGAGGACAGAGGCCAAGTAATTCTTCATTAAACACATATTTATGCAAGATTCATCATACACCAGGAATCATGAAAAGCACAAATAATTCAGAGAAAAATAAAACAAGACCTCTGTTCTACAAGAGCCCAAAACTTGATAAATGTTATGATAAAATTAAACATTGGTAGTAGGAAAGGAGATACAAAGGTAGTCATTATAAAACAGAAGTTAAGGAGGAAGTCTCTGGAAAATGTAATAACCAAAGGACATTTTTTATATTTATTTATCTGAGACAGAGTCTCGATCTGTCACCCAGGCTGGAGTGCAGTGGTGCGATCTCAGTTCATTGCAACCTCTGCCTTCAGGGTTCAAGCGATTCTTCTGCCTCAGCCTCTGCGTAGCTGGGATTACAGGCACCTGCCACCATGCCCTGCTAACCTTTTACATTTTTAGTAGAGACTGGGTTTCACCGTATTGGCCAGGCTGTTCTCAAACTCCTGACCTCAGGTGATCCGCCAGCCTCAGCCTCCCAAAGTTCTGGGATTACAAGGGTGAGTCACAGTGCCCAGCCCCTGAAGGACATTTTTTTTAAATGATGTAACCAAATGAGGAATTGGAGAAGTACCATTGGTTCATGACTTGCAGCTACAAATGCCTTTGTTTTAATTAGCATCACCACTTTTGAATGTTGTAACTTTTTCAAAAAATAGAGAAGAATAGGTTTACCAACTTTGTTCTTTTTTTTTTTTAAAGGCAACCACAGACATAGTTTTCTTCCCATAACCTTGTAAGGAAAATGCAACAACAAAAATTATAAACCACTAAACACAGATACAAATTATTATACAAGAATTGAGTATCATGTATATAAATTGAATTTAAATACTGGCCTGATCAGTGTTCATTGTACCCAGGAATGTCTAATATTGAAGAAGCCAATAAAACATTTAATATAATAACACGCAACAATCTAGTTATCAAAGTAAGACATCTCATGCTTATTATTTCATGATGCTTTTTTAAAATTATAGATCTCTATTAGTTCCAAAATAAAATAGATTAACAAGACAATAGGACTGCTTTAAACTGACACATTTATTAAGACCATCTTTTTCAACCTCATAAGTTGTATGATTAAAAGGTAATTCTTGCTTTTCATGGAACTCAGTTCAAGTGTTCAGGAAGGGCACTGAGCTGTGTGTTTACAGTCTTGTTGCTGCACTTCCCACTTGAATATGTTTTGGGTGTGCAAATGTGGTATAATAATCTCTTTTCCCCACAATCCCAGACCTCTTGTTTATGACTGGATTCTACCATTAACTGTGGCAATAATGTGCCAATTATTCCACACCCCTAACTGTCCCCATAGCCATTTTAAGGGTCTTTCAAAAGCAATGTCTCTGACATCTGTCAAAACTTTCCCATACTCCTTGGAAATACTTGTGTAAATCAATCTAGATCCAAACCTTTGATTACAAATAATTGAATTCAAAAGTACCACTCTACCAGGTAAATTGTTTTATAGCATAGAGCAATGCAAGTGTATGAACTGAGAATCCTGAGATATTTGAAGGCTTAAGAATTGCCTTTATCAGTTTCACAGGATAAAAGTGGGTCATCAGCACTTCAGGGCTGGGAAGAAGATGTCTTGAGTGATGGTGTCGGTGACTATCTGGGAGTTAGAGACAGAAGGGAAAAGTGTCGTCCACTACAAGATGATGATAAGAGGAAAGTCACATGGCTGAGAGTTGACATCTTTAAAAAGACATCTTGCGAAGCTCTTGCTTCTAATATATTTCTAAGGTTACTAATAGAGAAAACAAGCATATCAATTCTGTTAAATTTAACTTAAATTATTAAATAATCAAATGCTAATCAAATATTTTGTAACCTTGGATAATCACATCAGCTGTTGGAAAGCAATAGTACCATTTTTAAGCCCAGTTTAAAAGACACAAGAATAAAAATATTAAAAACACACAAAACTGATCTAGACATGTTGAAATGCACTAGGTTAGACATAAGCAGAAGTAGAATACTTAAAATAACAAATGCTATCTTTTCTACCAGAAGTGAAATCTAGTTTCTTAGATTATTTTTAGTTTCTCATTTAACATTAAAAATTTCAGACACTTATTTAAAAATTAGTTAGTGCTATAAGGGTAACCTTGGTGTTCTCTACAGAGTAGGTTGAATTTAACTGCTGAATCCACTACCCTATTCTCAAAATACAGAGTGTGTTCCTTCTCCATAGATGGCTCACCTTAGATTCCTCATTCACTTTGAAATAAACGACTTCAAAAAGACTGAATTTGGTTAACCTGCAAATGTGAGTGACAGTGTCAAGGTGCAACTCAATAATTAATACAGTTAACTAATTATTGAAATAGTGGAGGTGTCCATTCGACATTAATAAACCACTTTCTTTTTAGTAACTGTTCATCTCTCTCAAGATACCAATGGAAATGTGAGTATTGAAGTCACTTTTAACACACAATTTAAGTGATCATTAACGTAAAGGATAATGTATATAAATTTTCTCACAAAGTGAGGAAAAATTAAGTTGATTTTTAAAATAAGAGGAAACAATTTCTGTCTGAGTTTTGCTCCAGGAGACAAACTAATTCTCCCAATTTAGCTATTGTTATCTAGGTATTAGGAGGATAACAATCTGAATTAATCACTTTAAGAAGTGAATGGAAGAGAGTTCTACCCACTATGCCTAGAGAAACTTCAATGGGAAATTTTAAACTGATGACTTTTCAGGAGATATGACATTGCAAAGTGGAAAAAAAAAGTCAAATTATGATGAGACGTTTCTGAGCTAGGATACACTTTTTTTGACTTTTAATTTTTCCTTAATCCTCAGACTGTATTGTCCTGATTACCCTAGCTCTGAGTAGGGCCTTTTTTCCCATGTTCCTTATATATATATGGGCTTGCTTATGGCAAAATATGATTTCAGAAAAAATTTCTGAAGCCACAGGAATTTAAGACAATGAAGGATCTCCTTCTACTATAAACAATTCATAGGTTATTATTTGTGTTAATTTCTGATTTTTAAATAAAAAATGAAGGAAAATTTAATTTTATTAAAGATAGGCATTTTATACTGTTCATTTGAAAACAGATAGTTCATATCTTATTTAACTTGACAGTTACTCTGATGACTAAGTAAATGGAAATATTTCTTCTCTTTGTCCCATACTCTTTCACTTCATTATGTGATACTGATGACAAGCTTTTCACCTAGATTGCAGCTAGCAGGCTTGAACATCGCCTGCCAGAAGTGATTAATACCAATCAAACAGAGTTTGTTCAGTTGGAAAGACTGGCAGAAAACATTTATCATCTTCTAAAAGAATTAGAGTTCCAGATTGGCTCTGTGCTTGAGATAAACAGGATATAAATGCCTGTGCTCCAATGTTCACTTTGTTATCACAGTTACTGAGCCTATTTATCGAAGCAGTGAAAGTAAGTGTGCCCACACTTTCCAATGGTCTTTGCGCTTAAATTGCAAACATAAAATCCTTCTGTAATAACTGAAGTTATAATGCCTGAATCTTAAAATCATGGGAAACCAAGTAACAGTAGGACAAAACACCTCCCTCAAACTCTTTCTGAGATCTCTCCCTAGACAATAAAGCATAAAAGGGGAGAAGTCAGAAGTTACCAATCTCACATGTTGAGGCATGTATTTATGCTTTCCTATTGCTGCATTTTATTATAAAACAAGTACATTTTATTATTTTTAGTCATTTCCAGGGAAAGATGCTCAGAGAGTTCCTGCCAGTATTAACCCCTGCCTCCTTTTCGAGGAGGTGAAACAAGGTAGCTGAGAAAGACCCAGGGAGGACAAAATGGGACCAATGAGAAGAGCAATCATGTAACATTTGCTAATCTCTTTTTAAAGTGGATTTATTGAAATATAATTTTCATAGAATAAAATTTACTCACTGAAATTATAATTTAGATTTTTAGTATATTCAGAGTTGTACAATTATCAGCACGGTCTAATTTTGTGTCCAAAAAAGAAACTTTGTACCTGTTATCCCTCACTCCCCATTTTCTCTGTGTTCTCCTCCTCCACACTCCTAGGCAAATACTAATCTACTTGCTCTCTCTGTAGATTTGCCTATTCTGGACATTAATCCTAATAATCTTTTATGGTCTTTCATGATTGGCTTTTCACCGAGCACAAGTTTACAAGTTTCCTCTATGTTGTAGATTGTATCAGTACTTCACTCCAACATTTACTAATTTCTTAAGGTTACCTTCTGTCTCTCCAGTGCTACCGCCCTTTCCCCCCACCACTACAACTGGACTTTTCCAAGCCAGTCACTTTCAAGTATCAGCTCCAAGTTCGTCAAAGTTCATACCTGGGGCTCAGCGCAGTGGCTCACACATGTGATCCCAACACTCTGGGAGGCCAAGGCGGGTGGATCACTTGAGGCCAGGAATTGGAGACCAACCTGGCCAACACTGTGAAACTCCATCTTTACTAAAAATAGAAAAAATTAGCCAGGCATGGTGGCATGGACCTATAATGCCAGCTATTCAGGAGGCTGAGGCAGAAGAATCACTTGAGCCCAGCAGGCAGGGATTGAAGTGAGCCGAGATCACGCCACTGCACTCCAGCCTGGGGTGACAGAGCCAGACTCTGTCTCAAAAAAAATAAAAAAAATAAAATAAAATAAAATAAAAAATGTGCACGCCCCATCAACCCTTTCTGTGCACCTTCCAAGCCTAACTCTGGTTACTTACATGCTATCATTTTGTTACCGGTGGGTCTTTGTTCTTAGAGCTCCCAAGATGGTGGCGGCCACTCCCAAGATGGCAGCAAGCCTTTTGTTCTCTGACCTGGGGTTCTTGGCCTCATGGATTCCAAAGAATGGAACCCTGGGCCATGCAGTGAGTGTTATAGCTCTATTAGAAGCCGTGGGTCACGGAAGAGAACCGTGGAACCCAGCGACTAGTGTTCAGCTCGATTAGGACTAACCCAGGCACTCAGCCGTGCAGAAACAATGGTGAGCCTTTAGTCCCATAGGGAGCAGCAGTGGGCGCCTCACTGGATCAGGAGCGCAGCGGACACCCTGCCGGATCCAGAAGGGTGGAAGCCAGCAGCGGATCTGCAACAGTGGCGTTCAGCAGGGGTGGACGGCGAGCAAAAGCTCAGCTGCAGCCATAACAAACACGGACCAGAAGAGTGTGCAGTTGCAAGATTTAATAGAGTGAAAACAGAGCTCCCATATAATGGGAGGGGACCCAAAGGCGGTTGCCCACTCCCGGCCCAAATGCCTGGGGTTTATATCGAAATCATTTTCCCTCCCTCTGTGTTCTCAGGCGATATATGATTTGACTATTTCTTTACCTCCTGATTTTAGCCTAATTTGTATTTTTAGTGAGCCCTCTTTACTACCTGATTGGTTGGGTGTGAGCTGAGTTACAAGTCCCGTGTTTAAAGGTAGGTGCAGTCACCTTCCCCATTTAGGCTTAGGAAATCCAGCCAGTCCTGTCTCTCAATTTCAGGGTCTAGGAATGATGCAGTTTATCTCCTCGTCTAATGTCTTTCCAGTCTGTTTTGGTGGAAACTCTGTCAGGCTTTCCTTAAAACATTTCTTACTTATTTGTTTAATATTTATTGATTTAGCAAACGCAGTTTCTGCTATAAGAAGCAGTGTGACACGGGCTGGACTCCCTAGAATCTTTGGAGCTCTAGAAAGGGATATGTCAGAGGGAAAAATGGATGCCTTTCGCCAAAAAAAGCATTAATGGCACCAATTAAACTGCAATGCACACCATTCTTACAAGCTTAAAGAATAGAGAAAAAGATACTACAAAACTAAATGTGAACAAAATATTTTAGAACTAATTTCTCCTTAAACAATACACAGTAAGATATGTGGCAGTAAAAAGCAATAGGTGATACACATTACAAGACACAAAAGTGTGGAGATCAAAATGTCCTAACCTCTATTATATTCAATAAAGGAATTATAAATATTTTCTATAACAGTTATGTTAGATCATTATTTTTAAGAGTCTATATTGAAGCTAAAAAATAAACAGTGAAATAAGCATTTCTGCTGTAAGAACTCAAATTTCCTAAATGCAATTGTGTGGCTTCTCACTGATTAGGGAAATATCATGGAAAAGAAAAGCACCCAAGGAGAACACACAACCATTATCTCACGGTTTATTGATTTCTTTACTTAAAAAACACTGACCCAGCATTGGCCATACATGGCCAGACC
This sequence comes from Homo sapiens, assembly GCF_000001405.40. Taxonomy (NCBI): domain Eukaryota; kingdom Metazoa; phylum Chordata; class Mammalia; order Primates; family Hominidae; genus Homo; species Homo sapiens. The sequence continues at coordinate 86,410,862 of NC_000003.12, read as the reverse complement.
CCCCGAGTAGCTCATTGACTAATGGGCTAGAAGGAATGCAAAATCAATCATCACAATACCTCACAAGAAATGTGTGTACCCAGTAAATGTTTTGCATCTCTAAGAGGCCCACATAGGGATTTGGAAGGACACTTGATCTGATTATTAGATCACAATAGTTAAGAGAATCTCATTTACACCAACAAAACAATGGGAACAAAGGCACAGGGGCATGGATGAGCAAGGCAAATTAGGAGGAAGAAAAATGCTTCAGTTTGACCACTGATGACATGAGGAGAGGCAAAGAGGGACCAGAATTCATGTCAGAAAGGGTCCTGTTTGTCATCATAAACAGTTTGAACATTAACTAAAGCTATCAAAGCCATTGTCAAATCTCAGGAAGCTTTCGAGCAAGAGGTAGTAGAAGTTGATTTACAAATCACAATGTCAATTACAGAAAATTTAAGTGAAACTTGGAGGAAGAAGAAATAGAAGGCAAGTTACTGCCATTATCCAAGGGATAAATTATGAGCACCTTAAGGCACTGGAAGCAGAAATTTTGAATTTAGATTGTCAGTACAGAAACCCAATCAACCAATATTTATACATGCATTGTTTCTTTCTTTAAATTAGCTATTGCGTAGATGTGTTCAATGTGGTCACCATGAAATAATGTAGCTCTCTTGAAATTTCTGCTTTGGAAGACATGGTGGTTCCGATTTGGGGAAATATCCTCTCTCCCCTGGAAGAAGGGGGGGCATGTACTGACGTAAATGCCAAGAAAAAAACCTGGCAATTAATTAAGAAGTTCAAGCTAAATCTCATTTTATTCTTTGATTCTTTGGCATTAAAATGTCAAAATCCCTAAAAATAATTTTATCTAAATAATTTGTTTTTGATTTGATAATTGTAACTTTTAAAGAAACCGACAACAGACTGGAAGTAACTAGAAAGTAACTATGTAATCCAATTCATCAGTCCAGACATGTAATCTTAAAAACCAGGTTATGCCCTTCCAATGAGCTTGAAATTTCTGCTTGTGGCAAAAGCAATAAACAGTTTCTTACGAATAAAATTGTAGAAAAAAGACACAGGTAGAGGTCTGTGAAGGTGGAAGGTCAATGTTGGTACTTCAAGTACTTACTGAAAAGCATGTGTTGCCTGAAACTGTTTACTTGAGTCAGAACGTTTATTAACTACATTCTTTTCTTCTGGAAGATGGGATTCTACTATAAATTATTTGGATAGGCCACAATCTCCACATTAATTTACCAAGGCTTTCATCCTCCTACACTGAAGTGTATTTCTTAACACAGCTCAAAAGACATCAAGTACCTCATCCAACCTATTCACCACCTCTAAATGGGATTTGACATTACGAGGTCAGCATTGCTTTCCCTCATAGATGACTAACAAATTTACGGAGACGTAAGTTCACTGTTCTCATATGGATCACTGCGCAACAGACCACTGTGTTTTGATGGTAACATTTAGGTTTCAGTTATTAAATGAAAGCGGAAACTCAGGCTGCGACAAATTGCTTGGCACCTAAATAATGATCCAGAGAGAGAGTTAGAAGGAAGGTCAACGTGTCTTCAGGTTTCAAGAGGGGAACTTGGTCAATAATAATGGAATTACATCATTTTGTGGAATTTCGTGAAAGTCAAATATTAGAATAAATTAAAATATAATTTAGTCTTAACATCTCATTAATGTACATAAAATTCTTTGAAATTACAATGCATTTAAATTTTTCTGAACACTCCTGCAGAGCTAATATTTGTAGCATAAGTGTAAATAATTATAAAATTATAGTTTGCTTTGTCATGTACTAACCTTTTAATTAAATTCAACAACCTGAGAGGTTGGGAAACTAATTATCTTATTACTAAACAAACCAAGTGGGTGAAGAGAAAAATCCATGTGAATCTCCAGTGAAAAGTTGATTCATAGTTTATTGGTTATGTTTCCATGAAGTCCAAGGTTTAAATGAATAAATTAGTAATGTATTCCAATGTGCCAAATACAGGCAAGCTTTGACTTAGGGCACATGATTTAAGAATGGCTTGTTCAGAGGGAAAAATCAATAGTGGCATATTGTGTTACAAAGCACAATTTCAACTTTTGCTTTCTATTCAGAGCGAATAGCAAGTGGCTTGACTCACCAGGTGCTTTCTCTTGTTTATGCCTCTATCATGTTAATTGTACTCCCTTTCTTCATTTAGACAACAAGTTTTCAATGTTTAACAATAGTAAACTTACCTCTTCTTCACCCCTCACTTCTACTTCACTGCTCTATCATCTTCACAGCAGATGGAAAAAAATGTGTCTTCTTTATCTTTAGCTACAAATCAGAAAGCATTTTTCCCACCAAAAGCATGGATTCTTGTAGAATCTATGTTAAATACTTGTGGGATAGCAGTGAAAAAGCATTAATGAATTCCCTTCTTCAATGCATAATTCATATATCAATTTAATAAAAATGTATTAAGACCATAATATATGCCAGTTACTAGGGATAAGAAAAGCAAGAAACAAAACAAAGCTTCCAGAAATGTCCTTCCTAGCAGAGGACAAAGACAAAGTAAATATAATACAGTTAATGGATACTGTAGATTGCCCACCTGACATCCATTCTTTCCTTTCTCTTCTAAATAGACCCTTAATTCTCTTTAATTATCCACAACTTCTTCATGAAGCCATGGCTCTGGAAATATGACTTCATTATTCTAAGCCAGTAGCTCTAAAAATGCGACTGATTTTGCCCTCTAGGACATATTTGGCAATGTCTGAAGACATTGTTCGTTGCTACAACTTGGGGGATGCCATCTAGTGAGTAGAGGACAAGGATGTTGCTAAGTAGCCTACAATTTACAGAATAAGGAATTATCTGGTTCAAAATGTCAATACCGTTACTATTGAGAACCTGGCCTAAGTTGAGTTAAGTAACCCTATTCCTTCCTGATTTAGAAATGAATCTAGTTGTGAGATTATAGCTCTCTTCTGGCAACTGTCATTGGTCCAGTTGGTTCAATAAAAATAATTGTGGAAAGGCTTTCTCTTTCACCCTTTAGAATTGAATAAGGGGACATTTTGCTCCAATTATTTCTTGCAGTTACCTTGGCTTATTTGGCATATAGAAAATAAATCTAACACAATAAAGCGTGCAAAAAAACACATTCTTTTGCGGAGAGGAAACCAGAACCTTGATAATGGCATACTTTGTGGCTGTGTGAAATAACACATTGCTTCATTGTTAAAGTCAGTTTGTGTCAGGCTTTCTATTACTTGCAAAGAAAAGTCTCCTAAGCAAAGATAACGTTAAGATATATTTATGTACGGATCTAGTGGAGTACAAAGGAGAGTCAACTTGCAAAACGAAGAAAAGTCTGGAATGGCTTTTCCAAGGAAAAGCTGAGTTGATTCCCAGGCAGCCAGATGAAAGGGTGGTAGAGGAAGGATAGTTCAGATAAAGTGAGCATCCTGTAGAAAAGCCTGGAAAGAAGAGGGCATGGCACACTGGAAGAACTACATGAAGTTCACTGTGATAGAACAGTGAATGTGTGGTTTGTGGGTGAGGGAGGGTGACAAGAGCATTAACCTCAAGAGCTGGCTCAGGACTGATTCATAAGGACCTTGTGCACCAAGCCAAAGAGCTCAAACAGTTTACTGAGACCAGAGAGAAGTATTGAAAGATTATAAGAATTAGAGTGATTGGATCATATTTATGTTTTTGAATAATCACTATAACTATGCTGGGAAGACTAAATGGACTTACTTTAGCCTCCACACTTGTCTCTTTCTTCTTCAATAGCCTATCTTCATGCATTAAGAGGCCACTTTGCATGTAAGGACTTTTTATAAAACAGCAAGGAAATGAATTTTCCTCAAAGAGCCTCCAGACTGAAATGGAAGAAGAAACCCTGTCAACACCTTGATGTTAGGACTTCTGTACTGCAGAACTGTAAGATAATAAATTGATGTTAAGTCACTACATGTGTGTAATTTCTTAGCCTAGCAATGAAAATTAATACAGGTAGCAAATATGTGGATGAAATAGTCAAAAAGAAAAATAAGCATCTTAATATGTATATTTCTTTAACTAAAACAAATGTAATAACACTTTCAATTACCTTTGTGGAACAGCAGGGAAGATTATATAAACACTTGCCAGCATACTCTCAGTTGATGCTTACATTAATTTCTTGAATTAGCACTGCTTTTCTTCATTAATGAAGAAACTGAAACAAGGAGGTTAAAGAGTTGACACAGTGTCACATGGTTGGTCAAAATTGACTCTTCAAGAAGAAAATAAATAACTATTTGTCTTGTGATGTTTAGAGTATTGAGGGCAGGATAAGTTCACATGTTCCTTTCAGTTTGTGGTCCAGGCCTTCAGCTAAAATACTATATTACAACCATATGATAAGAAGAATGCAGTAGTTGAGAGAGTTCCAATGTACAGTCTAGGGTTTGCAAGCAGTAAGTGTAAGTCATACAATGCTAGAGAAATTGTGTTCTTCCAAAGTTTTCTTCCTGTTTGGTTTTTGTTTTTATTTTGATTGTTTATTGTTTTTGCTGTTGTAAAATCTCATTCAAGTATTCTGTCATTTTATGATTTTCCTCTACTCATAGATGTTTTACTATGAGTACAATGTTAATACATGAGTTTAATTTATAAATTATGGATGATTGATCGAATTTACATTAATTATATAGTTTTTAAGTGAAATGACAGCTATTTCTGAATTTAGTTACTGAGTTCTAACTTAAACAACTTTGTGTTGGATCCTAGTGTAATCAGGTTACTGCTGATTTGGAATAATTACATTTATTTGTGTTATAACACATGCAACCATGACCTAATGATGCACACTTATAAAATTGCTGCTAATGGAAGAGCCCTAACCATAAAATGATGTATGTTTTTCTTGTATCGCACAGTTTACGGAATGTTTACATTATTTGGTCTTCTTCAATCAATTCTACAGATGAAATACCTCCCTCCAGGATTTCTGCATTTAAAATTCAAAGGATTTTTTGACTTTATAAAGTACCTTATATACTTTGTTCTTTAAAACGAATTTGTCTATATAATGGAATTTATGTGAATTATGTTCAAATGTAATAATCAATGATCTAATAGAGTTTGAAAAACTTTTTCTGTAAAAGACTGAACAGTCACTGTTTCAGCTTTGCATGTCTTAACGGTCTCTGCCACAACTATTCATCTTAGCCAATGTAGCACAAAAGCAGCCAATTGCCGATACATAAACCAATGGACGCAGATAGTAGATGTGTTCCAATAAAACTTTATTCACAAAAATGGGCTGTAGGAAATATTTGTTCCGCTGCCTATAGTGGGCCTACCTCTGTGTCTCAGAACCTCAGATAATAAGATTAAAACGACAACTGTTTTCAATTGGGAAAGGGACACAGGTAATGAAGGGAGTAGACATTTTTTGTTCTGATAGTTGCCTGGTTGTCTTCCTAGAGCCATTTTTCTTTCTGAGTGCTTTATGTTGTTTCTCTCCCTAATCCAGCAGGGGGCAAAGAAATGAATCAAGGTATTAAAAATAAATAGACAGGTGTGGTGGCGGGCGCCTGTAGTCCCAGCTACTCTGGAGGCTGAGGCAGGAGAATGGCGTGAACCCAGGAGGCGGAGCTTGCAGTGAGCTGAGATCGCACCACTGCTCTCCAGCCTGGGAGACAGAGCGAGACTCCGTCTCAAAAAAAAAAAAAAAAAAAAAAAAAAAAAGTCAATATCTGTAGAGTAAAAAGAGTTTAGAAGCTCCAAATTTGGAATAAAGAGATCACCTTTTCTCTTCATTTTCATTCAGTCTTACCTGAATAATTCTGCTCTGCATTCCACCTCACAAATTAGATTTTTCTATTGCAATAACTAGGACCTCAGAACAAATTTATGTTCACCTTTCCTCTTAGGGAAAATGACTGACACTATTGTGTGGGTATTGCATACTGACCCTTAAGGGAGAAAAAAGACAGGGCCACATTCCGCTTTATTCATTAGGACTAAGTGCCAACTGTCCTGTTACACAGTCACTCTACAATTCAGTTATCAGCTGAACAGCATTGCAAAAATGCTGATGGAGCTCTCTAGTATGAAATAGAAAGAAACGGCAGCAAAGGTAAAGTAACAATGAGACCATTATTGTAGTATAACATAACTCCAGTCTTCCCAGGCTACCATCTTAAATATAAAACATGTATGATTATTGAGGGCCTTAAAAAATCACTGGAAGGAGATGCAAAAATATGCATTCTCAGCACCATCACTTGCAAATGAGTTCAGAAAACAATTTTGCTTTCCATTTGTATTTTTTTTTACTACAAAGTTGCTTCATTAGCAGTCTCTCTGAGCCAGATAGAGAAATATAATATCAAGTATAATTGTAAGCATAATCAACACATATATAATTAAAGAATAAATCTGTAAAGCTTTGGAAAGAAAATCTAACATAGAATAAACCTACTGTTTAAAATGAAAGACGGGGGAAAAAAGAAAGATTAATAGATATGTGCTCCCATGGAATGAGGGCTCTCATGCATTTAGCGTGAAATTGGTATTCTGCCATTAAAAAAAGGGAGACATTTTAGGGACCTTTTCAGATACAAGGGGAGGTACTCAAAAAAAAAAAAAAAAACCCACACACATTTTTGAGGTGAGTGAAGGAAATGATAACTATAACAACGAGTCATTGGATACCTTGTTATTTTCACCTGATTTTTAAAAATCATAGTAGTATTTATTAATGAGTACAATATACAAAATTTAATAGAAGCAATTCTCATATGCCTACCATTATCACCTCAGAGGACCACTAGAACATGTCCTTTCCATTTACCACAGCTTTATTAAATAACTTTCCATTGCATATTAATACATTTTTGGAGAAAACTTTTTATTAAATGGTATTTTTTATATAGTTAGAATGAAAAGCTGTAAAAAATTATATACATCTATCTAGCAGAAAATATTTAAGGTGCTGCCTAGTACATAGTGCTCAATAAGACTCAATTTTTTATGGACAGAAAGGCTGTTCATATGGACATTTGTTTGGGCTAGGAATCAGGACACTTTCTCTCTCTGCCATAGTAGAGACTTATTACAACTTACACATCTAAGATCTTAATTTTCTCTTCAAAACGTGGTTTTTAATAGATGATCCTGCTAATAGACAATAAGCATGGCTGCATTTCTTTCTATTTCTCCTATAACTCGTTTACATGTGAAAGGCAAATCCACCTTTACCCCACCCCCAGGACAAGTTGTGTCAGCTTTAGCTCCAGTCCAGCAGGTCAGTCAATATATTTCTCCAGTGAAACTGGATTGCTTCTCAGGAGTTCTCTTGGGCATTCTTGGAGTCTTTTCGTGATTTGAACCTAGACAAATGTAACATGAAGATCTGAGAAAACCATCTTGCAACAGTGATGTAAAAGTTTGTTTGAAAATGGAATCACTAATAGGTAGGAATTGAACAATGAGAACACATGGACACAGGAAGGGGAACATCACACACCGGGGACTGTTGTGGGGTGGGGGAAGGGGGAGGGATAGCATTAGGAGATATACCTAATGCTAAATGACAAGGTAATGGGTGCAGCACACCAACATGGCACATGTATACATATGTAACAAACCTGCATGTTGTGCACATGTACCCTAAAACTTAAAGTATAATAATAATAAAATTAAAAAAAAAAGAAAATGGAATCAACATAGAAGAAGAGGGCTGCTAAGAGGGGAGAGAAGAGACAAGAGGGAGGGAAAGATTCTGTTGATACCGGGTTCAGCTCATGTTTTCAGCAGAAGTCAGATATATCGTGGGCTTGTTTGGCCATATTAGTTTTTTAGCCAAAGTCAGTTCAAATGCAGTGTGATGGCTTGTAATCCCAGCACTTTGGGGGGCTGAGGCAGGAGGATTGCTCCAATCTAGGAGTTTGAGACCAGCCTGAGCAATATAGTGAGACCTCATTTCTACAAAATATTTTTTAATAATAAAAACTGAAAAAAACCCAAATGCAGTGGGTCATCTTTGCCTAAAAGAAAAAGACCCCTAAAAATTGAGTACTGAATGTCTACATTACTTTAATTCAAAGTACAATAAAATTTATGATACCATACAATAAAATCATGTGTAGAACTTTATATTCAAAGTGCTAATTTGTTATCACCTATTAGCTAGGTAAGTATGATACCCAGCTTTCACATTATTTAAGCCTGCTTTCTTGTATGTAAAATAATATACTCATATTGGTCTTCAAAAAAGACTTTCTATCTGGTCTGACCCAGTCTACCTTTCAAATACAACTTTTGAGAATCTATTCTCTGAACTCTACTCATTATCCTTATTTTTTTTAATGCTTCTCAAGTAGAATACTCATTATCCTTAAACATGTTATGTACATTCACTTTTCATTTCTTTGAACATGAGTTTTTTCATTGTCCATAGTGGCCTGCTTACTTTTCTCTATCTGACAAAAGATTGTCCTAGACCTTGCTTAATTGTCAGTCTATGAAATTTTGATTGACTGTTCCTGGAAATTTTTACATTGCCCTCATATTAATCCCTTTATGCCTCTATTATGTTGCTCATTATTTTAAATTACAATGATTTGGTAGTTTTATTTGCATGATTGTGATTATGGGAAGTGCTGGGAGGGAATAATTTTTTCTTGGAATCCTTGGCACGTGTGTGTGTGTGGACATGCACACACACCAACACACACACACAGGCACACAAATGATGTTTGGAAATGGTGTTTAGGGAAATTTACCCATTGCAAAGGCATTAATGGGTAAGATATGAAATAGCAGAAAATAGGGAGGCAAGTTAGAAAATTACCCAGAATCCATTGATTGAAATTTGAATCTTGCGGCTTTGACTTTGTATCTTCAGTGTCTAGCATGTAGTTAGTATTCAATAACTATAATTCTTTTGTTTGTGGTTTACAAAAAATAATTATTGAATGGATGGCTCAGCCCAGGGAAACTATGAAAGAAACTGAATATTTTTAATGATATTTTTTATTTACCTTTTATTGTTTAACAAGCCACTCCAAGATTTAAAATAAAGTTTTAATTGGCTCAAAATTCTGTATGCGAGCAATTCAAGTGGCTGATTTTTCTGGAATCATCTGGACTTTGGCTGGCAGGATAGTTGGTCTAAGGTGCTTCTGCTTGGATGGTTTGTCTGTTTTGTATGATCATATGTTTAAAGCAGCTAGCCAAAGCTTCTTCAATGATGTACCACTTTCTAAGAGGGCAAGCTATAAGCCTTCTTTAGGCCTTGACTTATAATCCATTCACTTTTGCCACACTCTAGTATTCAAAGCCAAACGCAAGACAAACCTAGACTCAAAGATGTGGAAATGCAAGTAAAATCAAAGGAACGTGCATACACATTTGTGAAGACTCGTTCTGCTTTGAGAATGACAACCAATGAATATACTAGTGAAAACACATTACTTTTAAAGAATACTGACGGAACCTCCATGTAAAATAGACATAAAGAAAATAAATTCCATTAGACATAATAGTTAAAATGAGCAATAGCAAAGAAAAATTTTTTTATGAAGATCGAAGTTTTATCTACATGAGAACTGTGCTAAATCTTTAACTTACACCACTATATGTAACCCTCAAAAATATGTTTGGAGATAGGCACTATTATTAATTCCATTTTACAAATTTAAAAAGTAAGTGTTATTGTAAGTAACTTGCTATTTATGTTTTTAGAATTGTTAATTTATAAGCGGACGTATTAGATAATTGATCAAGGTCATGCATACTTCAGCTACTTAGCATAAATTTCAAGGGTTCTACTAATAGGAGACTTCATTTATTTTGTGTCTTTAAAAGACGGAGAATCACCGTGTTGCACAGACGGACCTCAAGGGATCCTTCCGCCTCAGCCTCCCGAGTAGCTGGGACTACAGGCATGCAACACTGCACCTGGTAATTTATTTTTGATATTTCTAATGTTCATATAAATTAATACAGATTACACTAAGATTAACAACACCTTACTTATTCTACCTTGCATTTAACATATATTTTATTTTTAAAAGTTTTTTCTTCATGTATCTAGATTTTCTTAAACATTCTGTTTTTAGTATTGATTTCCATAGAGTTTGCAATATCATATATTGTAGTTACTTCCTTAAACACATAGAGTTAAAATGTAATTTATTCTGAGCTAGGCAGTGACGATATGTACAAAAGCAAATCTTTTTTTTTAAGCATACTTCTAAAACTGAGAAAAGGAAACCATTGCCAAAGAAATTACATTGAAGAATAATTGTTATAAAAATGTATTAGATAATAATGTAAATTTAAAGTTTAAAATTAATTTATTTAAGTAAATATGCACAAAGGCCATAGAAACATAGGATGATATACCTTAGAACATTCTTAAAAGTACAGTTAATTTATAACAAGATAAAAAGTGCTTCAACACACACAAACATACAGACAACTTTCTTCTCAATGATGTTGATCACATGGTCATTCATAATAGTAAAGAAGCAAGTGAAGTGAATTATGTTAGAGTCAGGATTCTTTTCTTTAAAGAAGAATTTAAAAAACAGGCCATTTTCATGGGTTCTGATACAGAGAGAAAAAATAGTAGGTAATGCGTATGTCCTTCAAGATAGGCTGTCCATGGTCCCTTAACACACTAAACCCCAAATCTTGCATTTTCTTAACACAATAAATGTCAAATTTTTACTTATACCATAGATGTAATTGCAGGTCATCTAGGGGGCTTTTAGATTTTTCATCAGAGACTCCGGCTAAGAGGCTTAATTAAGATACATTCTTCCTCCAGGTCCGTACCACTGGGAAGGAGACATGGTGATCACACAATGGCTTTTAAAACTGAAACCAGACTTGCCTGAGGAACATAGAGAGACCCGTCTCTACAAAAAAATTTTAAAAAATATATAGCTGAGTATGGTGGTGCACGCCTGTTGTCTCAGCTACTCGGGAGACTGAGATGGGAGAACTGCTTGAGCTCAGGATGTTGAAGCTGCAGTGAGCTCATCAGGCTACTGCACTCCAGTCTGAGACACAGAGCAAGACTCTGTCTCAGAAAAGAAAAAAAAAGAAAAAACACAAATAAACAAACAAGCAAAAATGAACCAGAAGGTAGCACACATCCTGTACCCGACGTATCATTGCCAAGTCACCGGTCTCACCATTTCAAAACATGTAGGATACTGCAAATTTACCATGTGCCCACAGGCCCATTAAGGAAACAGAAATATAATATTTAATGAACAAGTTTATTAACTACCTAAAAACATGCTCGCACAGATGTACCCAATGATCATGGCTAAAAAATGAAAATAGAGTACTGTATATGAAAACAAAGCTAGAAGCTAGATGAAAATCTTCAAAAGTTATGGTAGTGGGTGGACTTTAGATGATGTGTTTATCATCTATCTACTTTTCTGCATTATCTATAATAATTATTTGCATAATAGAAAAATATCTAATAAACATGATGTGAATTTTTAGATTAAAAGACTTAAAGATTTTTGTTATTATGTCTTTTCCATTAAGTAGGTTTTCACTTCCCCATTAAATGGATTGTGCTCATTATGAAAAAAATTAAATATATATTTTCCAAAGCATAGAAGTCTAGAGAAATATCAGTCATTATAAATATTTTTATTAGTACTAATACATCAAAACCTGGAAAGTTTTACCATTTTTTCTCTGACTGTATTTGTCCAGGACAAATGTCAAATTGATTAATGTCCTAATTTTTTGACATTTTTTGCATTGTAATTGTAATTTTTTGCATAACTCTGAAGAGCAGAACTGAGTAAACTGACAAATGAGGAATAAAACTTCACAAGAAGACCAATGGTATAAATTATACTGTAACCAGTATCACTGAGTGTCAATGTTTTAAGAAAAAAATAGTTACATGTTTTTGGAGTAAAGTCTAAAAAACTGTTTTATATAGTGACAGACTGAAGACTATCCTTTAAAATAAAAAATAATATAAAATAATAATGATAGCTCACCAGGATCATTAGTCAAAGCCTCTGTAATGCAAACTAACAATATTTTTACTAACGTATGTGTTCAGATAAGATTTGTACGTGATTTCTAAATCCTTATTCAGGAACTTGCTCATACTGATATAGTTCTTCAGAATCATGCAAATTTTATGAATTTGCTCAGAAGATTATGAAGCCCTACATATGAATACAAAAATGGAAAAATCACAAATTTAATCCTGATAATTCAGATTATTTTTATAGATTAATCAAACTTCTTCCATTTTGGAAGGGAGCTTGGAGGTCCTGCAATTTAGCAGATTATCTATTTGGTTTCTAGCATTATTTTGTTGTGGAAAGGAAACCATAAAAGGAAGACCAAAATGTAAGAGATGCAATAATATTATTATGGTAGAACTGGAGTAGGAGAGGTTGTCTTCCTGACCTCCTCCCTTCTTCTCCTTCTCTAATTCAATGTAAGAGACACTTGATAGCGGGGAAACAAACTCTTGTATTCATTCAATAATGTTAAATTTCCAAAGAATCTTGTCATATTTAAAACAATCCAATTAGAGTTTCTCTGTCTTTTTTGTTTTTAAACAATATATGTCCATCTTTTAAGAATGAGAACTTCGAATTTTAAATATGATGTTCTCATTATGTTAATGTTCTCCTGTTAATACCTATGGCCTTAGCTCTATGTTAGGTCTTATCAAAATTATATGACCCCATTGTTTGAAATTTTACATCCTAAATCAGTGTGGAGAATGCTGCTGTTTGCCTATCCGTATATATTCTTTTTGTTCCTCCTAGCGGAAGCAGTGTTTGTCCATCCCTTACAAGGCCATGAACTCAAAAATGGTGATGCTATTTCAAACCCCAGTAAAAAATTGTGGTTGGTTCAATCCAAACATATTGGTCTTGTTTCTTTTGTCAATAGATATTTTACAAATTGTTATGTGACCTAGTCTTGATCTGTTAAGACTTAGAGAAGCTCTGCTGGTAAACTTTGCGGGAGAGTTTTTTCACTACAAGAGATGCACAGAAGCTTATGCCATCTTCTTTCTTAAATAATGTTATGTCTGCATGTGATTCTGGAACTGCTCCAGCCTTTTTTTTCACCATACAGATACACTGTAAAACAAAGAAACCATGTCTTTGTTTCATGTCATTGTAAATAACAGAAACAAAGTTTTAACAGATTTAAATTTTTGTTCTTCTCACTCAACAAAAAGTGTGAGAGTTGGTGTTTTCTGGCTTCTGTATAGCGGCTCTAAGGATATCCAAAAGAAGGCTTCTCTAATTCTTCCTATTAGTACTGGATGGCAGTACATCATGCCTCAGCCAACATGTCTATGGTCAAAACAGTAAAAAGAGGAAGAAGAAAGGAAGAGGAAGTCAAAATGACTTCATGGAAAAACAAAATATTTTTCCACAGGAGCCCTCTTTAAAGGAAAAGAGTCTGGGAAAGTGAATTTTTTTCTTTCCAGCCCCTATGTTAGAGGAAGGCAGTACGTGGTGTTTGAAAATGGAGTGAGCTGTCTACCGTATTTGCCACACTCCTTATGAAAGACATAAAAGAAAGATAGAAACACCTGGATTCTGGACGATGTTGTTGATCCTAACGGATCAACATTGTTTATTTATTTAACAATAAAATAACATAGAATTGAAGTTCCTGGACTTCTTATATGACAAAATAAAGGATCTTACTATTTAAAACACCTGTAATTTGGAATGGAATTGTGTGAGTAACACTTGAAAATATCTTTATTAATACAGCCACATAAACATTCAAAATGAATCCTAAAGTCTTGTCAATAAAGGTCAAACTGATGGAATAACTAAGTTTTTCTTTTAAACTCAGAAAGAAGGAATAAAATAACACTTAAAAGTTTTATGTTTAAACTTATAAATAATCTTTCTTATCCTTAACTTTTAGATAAACAGATTAGTTATTGCATAAACATAGTTTCTTATAGACTTTACTTAATGTCTCTCTTCACAATTAGAATTTACTTCTTCTGAGAGCAGATATGTTTTCTGCTTTCCTCACTGCTGCGTACACAAAGTCTTTCACGCAGTACATACTAAACAAAGCCTCTTGAAAAACATAAGTACTTTCATCCACTTAGGTGGATTTTTGGTAAACATGCTTAAAAACAATTTAAGATTTCTTATAATTATTATAGCTTTAATAACTGATTTCTCTTACTTTTAAGATAAGTGGTATGGAAGAAAGAGAAAAAAACTTACTGGTAGGTGTTTAATAGTTGAGATTGAGATTTTGATGAAATTATTTTTATTAAAATAAATATCATTTGAATCATGCTTTTTATTAAAATGAATTATTCTTTTATTTTATATTTATCATTGATCTAAAAGAAAATGAGAGCTTTAGATTAATGTTCTCTGCATTCAGAAAAGGTAACAGGATCTTAATGTAGGACATTTAATTCAAACTTTTTCTCTAATGGAATTCTTACTAACACTGAGAGAATAAATATACATATGTAAAAACAGGACTTTGACACACAATCTGCACCAACTTTCCAGGATACTAACCATCATATCTGCAACAAACAGCCTTGGAAGCTACGGTGCTCAGATTGCTATCTCTAGTGACAATTCAGGAAGCCAAACTATAGTTTTTCTAAGAGTCAACCCAGGATGACTAGGACTTGATTAATAACTGACTGCTTTCTGAATTTTTGTCCCCAATTTCAACAGATAATCAACCAGAGAAACCCAAATATGCACCACTAACCAATCACACAGAATACTTTTTCTAGTTAACCTTCGTAAATTCCCCATGCCGAAAGCATCCAATCAGGGCATACGTGATGCCTTCCCTTTTTTCCGCCATGAAGGTCTCCAGTTCCTCTGCCTGCCTTTGAGTCATTGCTAAAACATAAGTCATGATGGCTGATTTATTTTCTATAGCAATAATCTTTATTTTCTCATTTGGTTGGTTCTTATTTTCAAAGCACATATTATCAAACATACAATAACAATTTTACTACACAATGAAATTTGCATTAAGACACGTAGAGTACATGTTGGTTTTTCATAAAAGAAATTCATATAATAGTACAATAAAGATGATCATAAGAATATGATACACTGACCAGATGGACCACAAAGAGTTTTAGTTTAATTAAAAAGTAAAAATAATCCTTATAAGAACTTCTGACCTTTTTTAAGAAAATTTATCAATTAGAAAAATAATCACTTCAATTTTTTTCCTAAAACAATTTTTAAAATATAGATGCAACAAAGATAGATCAAGGGTCAATACCAATTATTATGAAGCATTCTGATCACCTTTCAAGAACTATTTACATCAAATTTTAGCATATGAATACATTTTTGAAATATCTTTGATGAATCTGATTCCCAAACACAATGGAAGGAATCTAGATGATGGATAATATTTTTTTAACTAAAACGAATTAAGTAAATGTATTAATCTATCTCACACTGCTTAGAAAGACATACCTGAGACTGGGTAATTTATAAAGAAAAAGGGGTTTAATGGACTCACAGTTCCACATGGCTGGGGTGGCCTCACAATCATGGTAGAAGGTGAAAGGCACATCTAACCATGGTGGCAGGCAAGAGAAAATGAGAACCAAGTGAAAGGGGAAATCTCTTATAAAACCATCAGATCTCATGAGACTTATTCACTACCATGAGAACAGTATGAGGGAAACTGCCCCCTTGATTCAATTGTCTCCCACCGGGTTCTTCTCACAACACGTGAGAATTACAGGAGCTACAATTTAAGATAAGATTTGGGTGGGGACACAGCCAAACCATATCAGTAAATAAATTAAAGAATTAAAGTTTTCTAAGCAGATAATATGGACCATGTGTTAAATTTTTCAAATCTCAGAGTTAATCTCCTTCTAATTGTTCTTCACATGTTTGAATATAATTATACAAAAAGTTACAACATTAAAATGATCATGTACTATTAAACATACTTTCCAGATCAGGATTCCTAGATAACCTAAAATTATTTGTTTTTGCTAGTCTTAAGGTTGATATTTTCTTTAGCATGTAAATGCCACATAAAAACATGTTCTATTTCAAGGATATACTGATTTCACTGATCATAAAATAATTACAAATACTGGTTATAAAATTATAATAAAATATATTAACTTATCTTCATAATTTTTGAAGAAAAAATATAATTTTCTAAAACTGAATACAATGATGGGGACTTTGTGTGTCCAAAGATATTTTTACCTATTTTTTCTTCTCTTTCATGTTTGTCTTAGACCTTAGACATTTCTTATTGCCTCTGCAAGTACTTGGAGACAAAGATGTCACCAATCCCTGAGCCATGAAATAAGAATCCAAGACATAAAAATCAAATAAGAGCCTTTTAAGGCAGGATAATAAATCTGACAATCCTGAAGGAAATAATTCACAGACAAATACTTTGCACCAATTGAATGTATGTACTATTCAAGATACTCTCTTTGGATCATGAGAGCATTTTGGTCAGATTCCTGAATATCTCTACAAGGGTTAAATTCCTTTAGCTTGAAACAATAGTATTTTAACTGCCTTCAAATAATTTGGAATGTTAATAAGAAAATCTAGTCTAGAGTAGATTTTGTGAACAATTGACCTTCATTACCATCCCAGCACACATGGTATATAAGTCCAAATAGTATTTAGCAGCACAGAAACATAGAAGCTTGCCAAGGCGTAGATTTTTAAGGAGGACTTTTGCTTCTCCTCTATTTTCTCATGTGGTTCTCGTAAGTGTATTCCCAACCTTTGTAAATAACTGAAATGGAAAATTTGGCATAAGGCAGAAGGAGAAGAGTGAGTGGAAACAGAAAAAAAGAACTATTTGATGACGCAGTTTGGCTTGAGTTAATTTTCACCTTACCTGTTATACTCTTACATCCACAAGATACCTAACATATAACAGAAAACGTCAGTTTCAGTGCCTTAGAAATACAGCATTGCTCTATAGGAAAGACCACAAGACAATAAATAATGAATATCAAGTTTTTTTTTAAAGTTTACAAAAAATTTCGATGTAAAAGTTAAGATCAATAAAATAAACATACACTGAGATAATACAGCAGGCAGTTGGTTTAATATCATTTTCTTCACCCAAGAAGATAGCTGTTCTGATGCACTAATTTCTCCAAAGAAAATTCGCATCTAAAATAGGAAATATATCACTGCTGTTTTTAAAGTTTGAACTTATGAGACTGTCTATAGATGACATTTAGATTACAAATGTATTAAAAATAAGTATGTATTAAATATATTGTTAAACACTGGCATTTTGTTATAAAAACTACACCTATGCTATTTGTCCTTTTGAGAAATGTCCATATTAGAATCTTCCTACTTAAATATCTAGTTCATTCCTCTCTAGAAACTCAGAGAACTACCGCTTAAGTTTTTCAAAATTACAAATAATAACAATGCTAATATAAGGTTCTAATTCTTGAACTTTATTTCAATAAATAGATGTATTTCTTTGCAAAAGCCAATTATTATTACTATTATTATTTTCGCTATTTGTATTGGTTTTTTCTACCTAAAATATTAACAAGTTATGATCACATAAGGTATAAAATAGACATTTAGAGTGAAGACTTCCAACCAAAGAGCATATGTTTTCATTGAAAAATCTAGTATGAAAATCTAGTAACATTTTTAAAAAATGAAGAAAAATAAAGAAAAGGAAAGAAAATTTTAAAAACAGCTAAGGTATTTCTCCAGAAGTGCTGGAGATGCCTAAGGAATTGGAAATTGTGTTGGTAATGTAATGGTCTGTGTCACTTCATGAGCTGTCAGATCCTAGACTGCACAAGACTAATAGCTCTTTTATAAAGAGTTTCTTCTAGCACTGCTCCCCAAACTCAAAGTCGCAGAACACTATCTATTTAAGGGCAAAATGATAAAGACTCACTTGCTTAGATTGATAAGCTTTCTCAGGAGTAGCATTTTTATTCTGAAACAAGTCACAGGACTCATTAGCAGAACCAATGGCAATGATAACAGACTATGAGTATCTTTAATTGTCCTTCTGTATGTTATGCATTTAAAGGCCACATTTGAAATGAAAGCTCTGTCAGTGATTTAATGACAGGATTTGAGTTTTAAAGTAAGATAATCTCATACCTATAACAAGATCAGTTCTGCATTAGACACATGACCTGGATCACCTTCAGAAATCTTTGTTGACCACATAAAAGGTAAACACTTTAAGCAACTTATTTGGCAAAATAATATTTGGGCTACTATCATTTAATATTTAAAGATATTAACTTTATATTTCATGAAATATGAAATAAAATGCTACCTACAAACATGGCACATACTTCAAATGACAACCTACATTTTAAAGTATCAAAAGGTTCTAACTAAGCAGTATTATTATATATTGCAAAGATTTTGAAGGCTGTAAGCATGATGGAAAAAAATATTTCAATATCTTTGGAAGAATAAATAAAGTTTAAGCCTATTTAATATGATAATATATTTTTATATTTAAAAACATATATAATGAAAACTATTGTTTTATTTTGTTTTTAACACAAACTCCAGAAAGTAAGTTCTTACAGAAGCTAGACTACTTTGCACATTATTATTTCTCCAGGTAGGATGGGAAATCATAGATAAGGAGATTTTTTATTTCCCAAAAAATCAGAGTTTAAATTTAAAAGTTTGAGAGCTTCCAGCAAGAAGAACATGCTCAATGGAAGCTAAACTGGGGCCTGGAGTACTGGATTCTAGCCAGAGTCCTCCTATATATTGCCCCAGGAGTTTTAGATTGTTCAGGTTGGACTTGCATAGCTTTGCAGTCCTGTGGGTCTATCCCTTACTTGCAGAATATTATAGCTTATGTTATATATCCCATTTGGGTTTTAATATCCTCTATTGTCAAATAAAGAATACCAATTAATTTATAAAATCATTTCAGATACGCACTTATTTAAAATAGTCTTCAAAAATGTAGTGAGTTAAATATCCCTAATATTTATTTAAGTAATTATTCTAAATACTTTAAATTATGTATTATAGAATACTAAAATAACTGGAAAAATCAGTAAAAAGGTGTTTGCAGTTTATCAACTGTGCATAAAGCAATGTGATTAGATATGGGAGGACTACCAAGATTCAGAAGACTTTATAAACCAACCTTCTGCTATTCTTTCCTCTTTTTTTCTAATACATAAAAAGGATTCTAAGAAGCCAAATCAACCAAGATAAAACTTGATTATAGAAACCTGGATAAACGGTCAGGACATGAAGACATCTATTGCTTCTTTTTTCTAGCATTGTTTTCTCCTTTCTTTTAACATCACTTCCACACATCTTTTGGGAAAATACTTATGAGATTGAGCAAGAAGCATTCTTTTTTTTTTTTTTTTTTTGAGACAGTCTCACTCTGTTGCCCAGCCTGGAGTACAGTGGCATGATCTCAGCTCCCTGCAACCTCCGTCTCCCAGGTTCAAGCAACTCTCCTGCCTCAGCCTCCAGAGTAGCTGGGATTACAGGTGCCTGCCATTGTGCCCAGCTAATTTTATTATTTTTAGTAGAGATGGGGTTTCACCATCTTGGCCAGGCTGGTCTTGAACTCCTGACCTCATGATCCACCTACCTCAGCCTCCCAAAGTGCTGGGATTACAGACATGAGCCACCACACCCGGCCGAGCAAGAAGCATTCTTACTGAGAGTGATAACAAAACTGCTCAACCACTTCTACCCATCCTAACTGCAGTTTTTAAAATGTTGAGGAAAGGCACAGTGGCTTACACCTATAATCCCAACACTTTGGGAGACGGAGGTGGGAGGATTTCTTGAGACCAGTCTGGACAACCAGGAGTTTGAGACCAGTCTGGACAACAAAGCAAGACCCTATCTCCACAACAAAATTTTAAAAATTAGCCAGGCACAGTGGTGTACGCCTGCAGTCCCAGCTACTGGGGATGTAACACAATGCAGGTTTCACTGCTCTCCATTTGCAAAGCCAAAATAATAAAGACAAGATGCAGTTAAAATAAAGTAACTTTAATCCAGAGCTAGCAGTGGGGAAGTGGCCAGATTCTCATCTAAAGAAACAGCTTCAGCTTCCCTGGAGGAAAGCAAGGACTTAAAAAGTCAGGTTTAGTATAAAAAGCATGCAGTGGGGTGGGCCAGAAGGTGCAGGTCTACATGACTTGCTCTGATGATGTATCTTGAATTATTGCCTCATCTGGTAGCTGGATTGGTAACACTGAGGTCATATCGGGGTTGTAAATTAATCACCATATTGAGACAATTTCCCAGTGGGGAGAAATCCAGAGGTATTTAATGTAAATGGTTACTGGTTGGTATCTCGCCATACATATTGGGGGCAGTTAATGCTGGTTATAAAAACTCGTGTACGCCAGGCACCATGGCTCATGCCTGTAATCCCAGCACTTTGGGAGACCAAGGCACTCAGATCACGAGGTCAGGAGTTTGAGACCAGACTGGGCAACATGGTGAAACCCCATCTCTACTGAAATAATACAAAAATTACCTGGACATGGTGGCATGCGCCTGTAATCCTAGCTACTCTGGAGGCTGAGGCAGGAGAATTGCTTGAACCCCGGAGGTGGAGGTTGCAGTAAGCCGAGATGGCGCCACTGCACTCCAGCCTGGGAGATAAACCAAGACTTTGTCTCGCTGGGACTCTGACTTCACCACTAAGCAGTCTATGCATGTAACAAAATTGCACTTGTGTATTGTAAGATACAATCTTTCTGAGTTTCCCTTCAAAGTG
Organism: Homo sapiens; assembly: GCF_000001405.40. Taxonomy (NCBI): domain Eukaryota; kingdom Metazoa; phylum Chordata; class Mammalia; order Primates; family Hominidae; genus Homo; species Homo sapiens. The sequence goes on along the minus strand of NC_000003.12, from coordinate 86,390,059 downwards.
TTTAGCCTGTTAACTTCCTTATCCTTTGTTCTCAAACTCAACTTTCTTGTTCTTCCTTGTCCCTAGTTAATGTAAACAGCCTAACTCCTTCCCTTCAGCTCTAATCAATAACTCACATCTGTTCCCTTGGTTACCTGTACCCATTGTTCCCCCGAAACTGCACGTCTCACACACTCCACCTCTGTACCTCATGTTCTCCTCCCCTTCTATATTTAGAAAAAATATATACAAGTAGCCAATTGGGTCAGCTCAGATTGTGCGGTCCGACCCCAGCCCATGGGGGAGTGACACAGAGATAGAGACTGCATTAAGGATAAAAACCCCCTGGTCTCCTTTGTTCTCTGTGCTCTTGCAATCTTGATTGACATGAGTGGCACCCTTCTGCATCAGTAAATTGCCTTGAGAGAATTAAACTTTTGCCTGAGTGCTGGTTTTACTTTGCGGCACAGGGCACTGAGCACTTATTCCTGGAGCATTTTATATCCAACATGTAACATAAATTTAACCAAATTAAAAAAAATTAAGAATGTTATGAAAAAAGGAAAGTGGTTTTGTGGGAGCAAATGTAGTACTCAAATTAGGAAGGACATAGCGAAAGAAATGATGCTGATTTATAAAACATCAGTAGGAGTTAGAGAGTCATTGAAGAGTAATCCATGCAAAAGACCAAGCTTATGTGAAGATTTAGGAGGAAAGAAGACCTTATCTGTCTGCAGAATTCAGATCTAGAGTGAGGATTAGGGGAGAGAGGAAGGATTTCAGCAGAATTCCTATCATGAAAGACCTATACAGCATGCTAAGAAAGTAGCCTGAGGAATATTGGGTGCCATTGAATAATTTTAAAGAATACGTGTTTTTTTAGTTTCATTTTTAATCTGAAAGGATTTTTCAGGCATCAGAGGAAAATAACTTGAGCTATAGCTGTCAACTTAAGAATGAGGAGGTTCATAAATTTGGAAAAAAGAGCTTTATTTCTGGTAAATGGCTGCAGCCAGCAGGGGGACCATTATGACAAGCTGGGAAGCATAGCCTCAGGCCAGAAGCCAGAAGCAGACACTTCGACGGAGCAGCAAAAGGAACAGGAATTTATATTGACCATGGTGGCCAAATATACATATTCAGTAAGCTTTAGGGGCCATGACTATTTATGAAAAGGGAAACATGTGCATGGGCAATTGAGCTTCTTGCCTCTTTGTGAGTCCCATGCACAAAAAAATGGCTGTGTTAGCATAATCCAACGGTGGAATTTTTGGCCCTCTGAAGTCAAAAGGTGAAGCAGAGGACACAAAAACCCATACTGAGCTTCTCCTGGACTGTCCAGAACAACTCCTTTGTGGGTGGTCCCTTGGAGTCTTCTGAAAGGGCTGGTTTCAGCCCAAGCTTATCCAGCCTGCAGCCCACAAGTTACATGCAGCCCAGGAAGGCTTTGAATGTGGCCCAACAGAAATTTGTAAATTTTCTTAAAACATTATGAATTCTTTTTGCATCTTTTTTTTTTTTTAAGTTCATCAGTTATCATTACTGTTAGTGTGTTTCATGTGTGGCCCAAAACAACTGTTTTTATTCCAATGTGGCCCAGGGAAGCCAAAAGATTAGACACACCTGATTTAGCACTTCGGGATAAAGCCTAATTGTGGTTAGTGCAGGAAAGAGAATAACGAGGCATGTCTAACCTCCTATCTTACCATGGTGGAAACTCAGTTTTCAAGGTGTTACTCTAGGGTCCTCTTGGCCAAGAGTCATTTTCAGGGGATAGAATTTTATTTTCAGCTTACATAGCAATAAGCTTGTAGGAAAATAATAAAGGCTTGAATCAGAGTAAAGACAGTGATGGTGAAAAATATTTGAGTATGTTCAAGAGAAATTAATCAGTAAAATAAGGAGAACTAAATGATTAGAAATAGGGTATGAAGAAGAAAAAAGTTAATATCTCCCACATTTTTGGTTTGAGCAGATAGATAAATGATGAATTGGTAAAGGTAAGAACACTTTGTGTTCAACTCACCACGTTCTTTTTGTGGGGCACATGAATACATTTCCCAGCCTTCCTTACGGTTACGTTGTATACCATGTCACTGGCTTCTAGCCAGCATGGGTGGAGGTGATAAAGCCACTTTCAGGCCTAAATCTTAAAAACATTACACACAATCCACAAAGCCATTCTCTCTCTCTCAGGGCAATATCAGAATACATTTATTCTAAACGGTCCAGCTACGAGATCGGTAGCAGTCTGGTTCCCTGGCTCCATGTGACAGAACTTCCCAAGAGACGTGCCTGGTCCTCACTGCATGGTAAGAAGAGTGAGAAACCAAACTAATTGTGTTTATGCACTGAAATGTCAAGAATTATCTTTTACTACAGCATATTCAACCCTATCCTGATTCAGAGATAAATCATTAAATTAGCAGGAATTTTGGAGAAGAGCAAGTTTTGGAAAGAAATATGGAGTGGAGCAAACGCTGATAGTTCATCTTCAACATGTTGAGATTGTGATCCTATGCAATGTTAAAGTGAGGATAAAAGAATTTGGATATACAAATCTGGACCCTGGAAAAGAAAGCTGGGCTGGAGATGCAGATTTAGAAGTCACTGGGTTATAAATTGTTGATGCCATGAAAACGGATAACATGTTTCAATTTCATCATTTCATCCACTGTATGTCAGGTTCATACAAAGAATGTTTTTTAAAAGCATATCTACCCATCATCTCGAAATATGCAAAATGCCATATCAAGTAATGCAAATGTAATATAATTTTGCAATTTGTGTTTTTCACTTGCGTCTGTGTAAAGAGACCACCAAACAGGCTTTGTGTGAGGAACAAGGCTGTTTATTTCACCTGGGTGCAGGCGGGCTGAGTCCGAAAAGAGAGTCAGCAAAGGGAGATGGGGTGGGGCCGTTTTATAGGATTTGGGTAGGTAAAGGAAAATTAGTCAAAGGGGGTTGTTCTCTGGTGGGCAGGGGCCGGGGTCACAAGGTGCTCAGTGGGGGAGCTTTTGAGCCAGGATGAGCCAGGAGAAGGAATTTCACAAGGTAATGTCATCAGTTAAGGCAGGAACAGGCCATTTTCACTTCTTTTGTGATTCTTCAGTTACTTCAGGCCATCTGGATGTATACGTGCAGGTCACAGGGGATATGATGGTTTAGCTTGGGCTCAGAGGCCTCACAGTGCTATATTTTGACTCACTGGGATAAAACAATATATTTGGGAATCTGTGTTTTAGTAAATTAGAAAAAAATATATTAAACAATTTTCTCTAAAGGTAACTTCTAAGTAGTGTTGGGGTTCAGACACCAATAGCTTAAAATATGATGTTTTGGCATGCTGGATTGAAGAAGCCAAAAGGGCTCTCCGACCTTCCTCCCGACCCCCACACAACTTCTTCCCAAAGAAACCTAAATTCCTTTAACTGCCTAAGATGCAGACCCACCAAGGAAAACAACAGTTTTCTTCCCCTCCTTGTAAGATAAAAAATGTAACCAAATTTGAACAGAACCTTTTTCAAGATAAAGATTGTTTCCAAGGATCATTAAAATTGCAAACAGAATTATTTACAAGTTCATCTCTGTGCCTGGATCCATTCATTCTCTGATAGTAATCATTGATTCCTCCTCAAGAGAATTCCTCTTTTCCTTCTTCTCACAACCTGTTTTACAAGGATCCAAGCTCCCATTCTTTTTGAAACCTTGAGATAGTATATAAGTTTCTGTAGCTTATTAAGAAGTTGGGTATTCATTCCGAAGGCTCCTGTTAAATAAATACACGTTAAATAAATTTGCATGCCTTTCCTCCAATTAATCCGTCTACCTCATATCAATAATTTTTAGCTAACCTCCAGGGGGCCAAGAGCAATTGCCCCCACAGTTGCTACTAGGATTTTTACCATCCAGAATTAATTCAGCCAAGTTCTGGACCCCAGCTCCTCCACAAAAAAAGAGTCTCTAAAGATAGAAAATGAACATTTCTTGCTCTTTCTTAACCGAAGAGTGGACCCATGAAACCTGATAAGTCAATCTTACTAACTTTCCTAGACCAAAACACATTAGTGAAGTGATCCAAAGGTATAAAAAAAATTAGAGTTCATTCATTTCAGCAGTTGTTTTGATGCAAAGCTCCAGTAGTTAATGATGCCCAGACAGCTGACTTTTTTTTTTAGTTTCTCTTTATTTTTGTCATAGTTTTTCAGTCTTCCAGTTAATTTTCTGAGCAAATAATTAGTTTTTCAATAAAGTAATCCATTCTCACTATGCATAAGAAAACTGCCTGAAGCCAAAGAACACTGACTGCTGAATATGCCAAAGCAAATAAACAAATGAAGTAAAAATAATCCTTGTGATTTGGTAGAGGGTCATTTGGAAAAACAAAATTCCTGGCCTTAAAAGTGAATTTGAATATGTTAGACATTCAGTTAAGTGTTTTATAATAAATGTAAACAATTGCTTCAACTTTTTCTAAATTTTGCAATAACAGAAAATTGTAAAATAATTCTAAAAGACAGTGATAAATACAAGATTTTAACCAATTTTGTTTGGGGAAATCCTTTGAAACTTTGTCTGTTTCAAGCATTTAGTACCTAATTTAAATATAAACTTATCTTTCAGTTAATCATATATAAAGAAACTAGAGAAAATGACTTGGGCAGAATAGTGAAATGGACCATAAATAAAGCTTATACCAAAAATAAAAATTGATGGTTCCAAATATTAAAACTGTCTTTGAGAGTTTACAGAAGTAAAATTTGAACAAAGCAAGATTGTGAAATGCATTATTTTATATAGGAGGAGTCAAACACGAAAACGTCTTCTTTGAAGGCACACAACCGCCAAAAAAACAAAATTCAGAATCAGATGGATAATATAATTGAAGTATAAGTAAGGTATATCTTAAAAGAAAAATATTGGGATCTCATTTTATATATATGTATATATGTATATATGTATATATATGTATATATATGTATATATGTATATATATGTATATATGTATATATATATGTATATATGTATATATATGTATATATGTATATATATGTATATATGTATATATGTATATATGTATATATATGTATATATGTATATATGTATATATGTATATATGTGTATATGTGTATATATGTATATATGTGTATATGTGTATATATGTATATATATGTGTATATATATATATACACACACACACATATATATATACACTTTTCTTAATTAATAAGAAATGGACTAACTATGCTGCTAGATTTAAAGCTCCTTGAGAGCAAGGACTGTACTCTCATTGTCCACTAACAAATAATTACCAAACTTTGGGTAGTACTGGCAGAGTTGTTTGAACCAGAATGACTCCATCTTGAATAGGGACTAGGTAAAATAAGGCTGAAGCCTACTGGGCTGAATTCCCAGGAGGTTAGGCATTATAAGTCACAGGATGAGATAGAAGGTCGGCACAGGATGCAAGTCAAAAAGACCTTGTTGACAAAGCTGTTTGCAGTAAAGAAGCTGACCAAAACCCACCAAATCCAAGATGACGATGAAAGTGACTTCTGGTGGTCCTCACTGTCATAATACACTAATTATAATACATTAGCATGCTAAAAGACACTCCCACCAGCGCCATGACAGTTTATAAACAGCATGGCAACGTCAGGAAGTTACCCTATATGGTCTAAAAAGGGGAGGAACCCTCAGTTCTGGGAATTGTCCACTCCTTTCCTGGAGAACTCATGAATAATCCACCCCTTGTTTAGCATATAATCAAGAAGTAACTATAAGTATTCTTATTTGAGCAGTCTATGCTACTGCTCTGCGTATGGAGTAACCATTCTTTATTCTTTTATTTTCTTAATAAACTTGCTTTCACTTTATGGATTTGCCCCAAATTCTTTCTTGTGTGAAATTCAAGAATCCTCTTTCGGGATCTAGATCAGGGTCCCTGTCCAGTAGCAGTACTGTGGTACACACTTTGAGGCTTTCAGGAAATTAGAGATTCAGGTGCAAAATAAGTATGATATGGTCTGTCCACAAACAAAAGTCAGTCACAGAACAACAGCTTATTACATTAAATGTGATAAATGCCATTGTCAAGCTAGGACCACAGAAGCAACAGTACAGCCCTTTCTTCATGATGAGTAAAGGAAGATCTTATGGAATAGAAGACATTTAAGACATTTAAGGCGTGACTTAAGAGTTCCATAGAAGGTGTGTGTTGTTTAGTGTGTTTGGTAGTAGAGTCATAGATGATGACTCTTTTGTGTGGTTAAACTTAAGCATTTATTAAATGAGGTATGTGGAGTAGAGGAAGATATAAGTACAATTTTTTTTTTTTTTTTTTTTTTTTTAGACAGAGTCTCACTGTGTCACCCAGGCTGGAATGCAGTGGCACAATCATGGCTCACTGTAGGCTCAACCTCCTAGGCTCAACTGATCCTCTCATTTCAGTCTCCCGAGAAGCTTGGACCATAGGCATGAGCCATCATGCCTAGCTAGTTTTTAAACATTCTTCGGAGAGATGGAATCTTGCTTTTTTGCCAAGGCTGGTCTTGAATTCCTAGGCTCAAATAGTCCTCCTGCCTCAGCCCCCTAAAGTGCTGGGATTATAGGTGTGCAAAACCTTGGGGATGGATTATAAAAGACTTTTCAAAATGTGCTAAATAATCTGAATTCCTGTAGACAACATAAAGCCACGAAAGGTTTTATGCAAGAAAGTGAAAGGATTAATTGTGTTTAAATGATAACTTTGCCTATAGTGCAGAAGACATTGGTAGAAAGAGGAGTCGTTGAGAACTTGCAAGGGGGCTAGTGTAATAGCCCTCAGTAGAAATAATACATGAGCAATATGGTGTTTTTAAAGAGGAAGGTTTTTTTGTAATGTACTATCAATTTAAGTGATGTGAAAATGACTTCAAAACTTCTGGCAAACGTAACTATACGGATAAAAACAAATGAACATTTGAAAAAGTGAAAACTTGAAAAATAGACATTGAGGGTATATTTGTATATGTTGACATTGGGTCACTTTGTTGATATGAAACATCTTTGCAAAAGTTATGACAGTGAGAGAAATCTGACCTAGCAAACTCTGTCTTGCTTCCAGCCTCACAAGCTGTCTTTGCTCATTCCTGGGCATAGGACAAACCAACTTTGGGAGGAATTTAGTTTATAGTTAACTTTCAAACAAAGATAATCAGTGTTTCTTCCCAAAACTAACCCCTTCTTTGCTCAGGTACCAAAACTGCCTTTGCAAAACTAACAAATTAGCCACAAAACTAGAATTATGGTTCAAGAGTCACGTCATCGGAGGTCACAAGATTCATAACCTAGCCAATTGCTCCTAAAGATAACGTCACCATCACAAAACCTAAGACTGGTGCTTGAGGAATTTTTCAGAACTTGCATTATGATGGAGCAGCTGGTGCCACCTGGGCTAGTCACCCATACCAAGAAACTGACTCCACTGGTCCCATGACCCTCACCCAGGAACTCAGCTAAAGAAGACAGGCTTGACTTCCTGTGATTTCATCCCCAACCCAACCCAACCAATCAGCATTCCCCATTTCCTAGCCCCATGCCCACCAAACTATCCTTGAAAACCTTTAGCCTCTGAATTCTTGGGGAGGTAGATCTGAGAGACATCTCCCATACTGTTGCTTGGCTGGCCCTACAACTATTAAAGTCTTTCTCTGCTACAACTCCTGCTGTTTTCAATGTCTGGCTTTTCTGAGCAGTGGGTAAGAACCCAGTTTGGTGATTCCAGATACACTTGTGGAGATATCTGGCCAGTAGATGAAATGTGAAACCAGACAGCCAAAAACTTTTGGTGTTATTTATGTAAACATTGTAGTCACTAGTATACAGGAGATCATTAAAATTATAAAAGTAGATTTGAGCTCCAGGAAATTGCATTTAGAATTATGTTAGAAGTGTATTAAGGACAGAATACATTGTTTAAAGGTAGAGGAAAGGAAGAAGAGGTCTGAGAAGGAGTAGCCAGATTGCTCAGATGAAAACCAGGAGAGTGGGATCTCAAAGGCTAAGGGAAAAGCAAGCACCTAGAGCAAGGAGATGTCTGGGAATAGGCAAACATCATCAGTTTCACCATTTTTTCTTATTCCATCCTACACATTTCACTTACACCTAGGTGGCTCATCTTTTAAGTGGCCAGATAATTTGTTGTTTATCTCCACTCTGGATACTGATGCTTCTATTAGGAATATAAAAATTCTCTTTTTTTGTGTAAAAGTTTTTGAGATGCAGAATCTTCTGAATTTATATATTTGTCCTCTTTTTCAAAAAATTCTGAGTTTCATAATTAAGGCAGATATCACTTTGACTTAGGAATGATCTAATTTTTGAGAATAAATTTTCATTTCTTATCCATTTTTTAAGTACACCAGATGAATAATTCACAAAAGAGAATATCAACGCTCTCAAATCCTATTAAAGACTGACCAAGACGCTTTAGAATTTCCCTCACCTTGACCAAACTTAAGATAGCCTTTTTCCTGCCTCTAGGCCCCAGACCTCCCTTTCTTTAGAGCATTTAGAAAACTTGTAATTGCAAATTCTTTCTCTGCCTCTTAGAGATGTAAATCCTGTTAAGAGCTTCTGGCCAGTTTCACAACCCAGGATTGTCTTTCTCAAAGACCTGGGAGCCATCTCTTTAAAATGTATCATAAGAAAAGATAGTGCCCACATCACTCTCTGTGAGAAGGTAGGAGCCTAAGTTTGTTGGGTGCTTTGCTCCTGGTTGTAAAACTACTTCTTATCAAAAATATAGGAAAAAGTTACTTTTCCTTTCGCCAAGGCCAATTAGCAAACACAGATGACCTCCAATCCCTGCTACTCACAACCAGGATCTTAAAAACTCTCCTGCCCTTGATTCAATGAAGTCTAGCTTAGACTAAGTCTGTCCTCTCTATTCTATTGAAGTATCCTTGAATAAAGTCTTTCTTGTCTATTTAACTTTCTCTGGAGTAATTGTTGCTTTGAAAGTACTTAATGCATGAAATTTAAAAGGAATAGTCTAATACTTACAATTACAGATTCAATGGATTTATCTTTACATTTTCCCTTTGCTCAATGCTGAAGTGTCTATTTTTAATAAAGTTAGAAATACATTTTTTGGTATTCCTAGACTGTGGCAAAAATCAGAATGTTTGGTATAACTTCTTGTTTTTTAGCTCTTCTAAAAATATATACTACAGGAAACAATATGTGTGATCTATAATTCCACAGGCAAAGTGAAAATTCTCTTTCTCTCTCTCTCTCTATATATATATATGCAATTTATTTACTATAACTCATTAACTACATCAATTAATTGTCTCAGTGAAGTGTACTGAAGCACAATAAAATATATACACATCAGGCCGGGCATGGTGGCTCACGCCTGTAATCCCAGCACTTTGGGAGGCCGAGGTGGGTGGATTGCCTGAGGTCAGGAGTTCGAGGCCAGACTGGCCAACATGGCGAAACCCCGTCTCTCCTAAAAAATACAAAAAAATTAGCTGGACATGGTGGCGCATGCCTGTAATCCCAGCTACTCCGGAGACTGAGGCAACAGAATCACTTGAACCTGGGAGGCGGAGGTTGCAGTGAGCCGAGATTGTGCCACTGGACTCCAGCCTGGGCGACATAGTGGGACTTTGTCTCAGAAAAAAAAAAAAAAAAAAAAAAAAAAAAAATATATATATATATATATATATATATATATATATATATATATGAACTCCACAAAATTACTCCCATTTCAGTGAGCTAGTTTCATTTAGAAAGGCAAATTTAACATCACATGTTAATTTCTATGAACCTGCTAATTTACTTTCAAATATTTAAGAGAGACAAATTTATCCAAACATGTTGTATATGTCTATAATTAGAAGTGGCATAACAAAAGACTTTCCTGGTGTGGTAAGAAAAGGAATATTGAAAACAAGCAAATGACTGGAAGTTTAGAGTTTGTATAAAATAGTTACTTGTTTGCTTTTTCCTGATGATCATTTAGTATCATTTCTGGAAATGCATTTGCTAAATTGCTGTCAGTACTTGAAAAGAAATTTGGTTGGTCAAACAATCATTGAACTATAAGCGTTCTTGACATGTCATTTAATACAACATTTTTCTCTGGGTATAATTGTTATAGCTAAACCATTTGAAATAGATAAATACTTATGACATGACTGAATTCCTCCAAAAAATGGTACCAAATAATCCACGTATTAAAATGGAGGCAAAGTTTTAATGTTTTTCAAACCAATACATCTGGAGTTCATGTAACTCAAATGTAGTGGGAGCCCTCCCACAGCCTCTGGTTTCACCCATGTACATTCTGAAGACAGACTGAGAACCTTTCATTATCCCTCAATTGATTGCAGCCACAATTCATTAATAGTATTTTCATAGTGTGGCTGAATTTGTCAGCTTCCTATTCAATATCCACCTCTACTCCCTTCTTTCTAAGCTTAGGAAAGGTACAGTTTTGATTGGGGAACAGTCCCATACAACACTACCTTTACAGCTTGCTCATTACAACTGCCTGAAACTGTCTGCCTGTGGGATTTTCCCTACCCCTGGCAGCATGTCAGTTTCCACAGTGCAGAACAAGCTGAAGGTTTCACAGGGAAATACTCCCCAGATTCAGTTGTTAATCAGTGGCGAATAAAGACGCCAGTTTCTTTGCCATTTTGTTAGGATCACTTTGATAGATGTTCTTTCTCCTCTGTCTCCCACAGATCCCTAGTGGGATTGAGTTTTAGTTGCTCACAGTGATAAATTTTTTGCTAATTCCCCTTTATTGATATCTTCCCCTTCTTTGTCTCCTTCTCAGTCCCCTACCACCATTTCCAGAAATCAGCTCAGAAATAAATTACTTGTGTTCAAATCCTCTTCTGAGAATTTGTTGCCTGTTTGCCCAGCCTCCTTTTTAATCAGGAATGGTCTGGTAATCTTAGTTCTGGCCAATGAGGCATAAGTAAAAGCAGGATACATAAAAAGGGAGGAAAGTAGTGGGAAAGCGTCTGTTCCACTTACTCCCCTCTGTTCTCTGCCCCGATCAAGCACTTCTTGCTTTAAATATAGAGACACCAGGAGCAGCAGCAGTCACTGTAATCAAGCATGATCATAAAACATCCTCAAAATGGTGAAGGGAACACAGGGTAATCTGGGACATTGAGTAACTGACTGAAGTCAGTAGAACTTTTTGTTTTGTGAGAAAAAATAATATAAAATACTTATTTGAAACCAAATATGTATTTTTTGCTATTGCATGCACGACTAAGATATACATATAATTATGGGAAGTTTTATAGTAAAAGAAAGAAGGTTTGCATTGTTCAATACAGAGAAAAGCTTCATAGAAATTTTTATTTAATAATTAATTTAAACCTGTTGTATAATTCTCCTTGGCTGTTTCACAAACTTTTCTTCCTCCACATTATATTTAAAAATATATTCCATTATGGTGGAGAATTCAATTTTTCTTTTTTTTTTTTTTTTTTTGAGATGGAGTCTAGCTCTGTCGCCCAGGCTGGAGCGCAGTGGCGCGATCTCGGCTCACTGCAAGCTCCGCCTCCCGGGTTCATGCCATTCTCCTGCCTCAGCCTCCCGAGTAGCTGGGACTACAGGTGCCCGCCACCACGGCCGGCTAACTTTTTGTATTTTTAGTAGAGACGAGGTTTCACCTTGTTAGCCAGGATGGTCTCAATCTCCTGACCTTGTGATCCGCCTGCCTCGGCCTCCCAAAGTGCTGGGATTACAGGCATGAGCCACCGCGCCCGGTGAGAATTCAATTTCTACACTCAAATTGTGTATTTTATACAAAAATAAGACTCCAGTATTTAGTCTCAAATTTCTGATTTTTTAAAAGCATACTCCTAATAAAGTCTCTTGATTAAATTTCCATGTAAGTCCACAGTTCCAGAAAAGTCAACTAAATGATTTATCCACCAAAATTCACAGATTCAAAAACAAAACGGTCACAGGCAACTTGTTTTCCTTTGTTTAAAGCTAAAAGCCTCACTTCGCCACATTTAGTAATAGTCACATAAAGGAAGGAGTTAATAAAGGAAGGAAACTGTGCCTGAAAGTATGAGAGAAAAATTCACATTAAAAATTGGTAAGAAGGGTATATCTAGCAATGACTCGGAGATATAAAACTTCCGGATCTAAGAAACACAGAAGCCAGTGCAAATAATCATAAGTGCTAATGTTGGAAGGGGAGTGGGTAGAAAGGACTGGGTCAGGGAAGGAGATGTGACTGTGGGATCAGTCAGAGTAACGCCATGTTGAGAAAATTTTAGCTTTCCATTGCTCACTTTAAAGAGGGAAATCGAGGATAGAAGCAAAGGAATGTGGATAACCTCTAGAAGCTGGAAAAAGCAACAACAACAAAAACTGAGTCCTACCCTCCAGAAGTAATTCAGTCCTACTGACACTTTGATTTTAGCCCAGTGAAACCCATTTCAGATTTGCACCCTCTATAACTATAAGATAATATTTATGAAGTTGCTTATTCTGGGTGGATTTGTTATAGAAGCAACAGAAAATGAATGGAGCATTTCTCCGTGATATAGTATTTAATATCTCGACAAGGATCCCAAGAGATGGTGATACATGGTACTAGAAGCATGAATAAAATAACGACCCACACTAAGTAAAATGTTTATGCCAGAATTGCTGTGTTTAGAGCACGTGGAAAAATGAGTGCCTCAGTCTTGAAAAAGGAGAATGGGCAGCACACCCCAGTACCTAAGAGAGTCCACCTCATGTGCCTCTCAGATATATTTACTTCATGTAGTGTTTCCCCCATCTGGAAAAAATCTCCTGGATTATTCTTGGGAGTGTTAGCTGCTGATCTCTCACTGTTAATTTCTAGTCCAGGAATTAACCTTAGCAGAAGAGTACTGCATTTACCAAAGTTGCCATCCTACCCAGGGGAAGCCCAAAATCGTGACTGGTTGGTGAGGGGATAGACATCCAGACCCTTAACCTCAACCTGGGTCATTATGAAGGATCATCTCTGCTCCAGAGCTCTCTGTAGAGACCAGCTGAGATGTCTGCTGAAACCACATCATATGTAAACCTCCTCCTCTGCCCACTAGTGCTACTCTTTCTCTCCAGGTGTTGTCCATCTAGAGCACTCCCCAATAAATTTCTTGCACGCAATTCTCCATCTCGGAGTTTGTTTCCCACAGAACTCATCTAAACTGATAACTTTCTAAGGAAGGAAAATAAATTTTTCCCCTTATTGAAACAAGCAACTTAACTGATGAGCAAAGAGTAAATTATTTACTATAATATGTTCTCAGATTACCAGAGGTCAAAAGCGGAGCTGGTCTCAGCATTAGCTTTCAAGATATAGAGCTTCTTATAGTGACATAAAGAAAGCTGAGTTGCTGTGATGAATTGGGGAAGAATTTTTGGTCCACCTCTACTGTATGATGTAATCCAGGTATGATGACTTATCCTAGGAATGAAATAAATAATGGACCTGATTTAAGAATCAGTTGGCACAAGCATGGGGTTGTACAGATAGTAATACAATCAATTTGGCATTCTGGGAATACTGAGAGGGTCCGGGCCTATGGAAAGGAGGCAATAACTTCATTAATTTATTTACATATTGATTAAAAATTTAATGTCTTTGTCAAGAACTTTCTAGATGTTTGGCAGTGTGCTAGACATGCTGCCAGCACAACTGGGAAGAAAAGATGCTGTTCCTGGTCTTCTCAGCTGGGGTACAGACTTGTAAAGAGGGGCTTTTAATATTGGGTGACAAGTGCAGTAACATAGAAATATAATATCTCTAGGCAAGGGTAGAGGTGGAAATAGCAAATGCAAAGTCCCAAACTTCAAAAAGAGGATAACATGTTATGCTCAGTGACCTGACAGTATTTACGCATGTCTTGGAGGATGGAATTGGAAGGGGAAGAAGATGAAAGAAGGGGTAAGCAGGAGCCACATTGTGAAATATCTTGTAGGTAGGTAGTGTTAAGAGTTTAGACTTTATTCCGAAGGCTATAGGGAAAATTGTCAGATTTTAAATAGGAAGTGATATGATCAGATTTCCTTTTAGAAATATCGTGTGAAACTCTTATAGAACTTGGCCCAGAAGGCACAATCTGTGGCAGCTCCTGTTGCTGGCAAACTTGATAACATCAGGGCTGCCTAAAACTTGATCTCACACGGCCCTGTGGAGATTTAATAATACAGTTCTGACACTTTTTATTTATAGGATGCAGATACATAAAGAACATAAAAAAGCCCTCTAACTAATAAAATGCATAGAACACCATGAAAATTATGGGGGGCAGTCACCATAGCTTCTAAAATATACTGATGTTATAACTTGTGACCTAATTACATTTGGCCACTTAGATCATGCAACTATTCTTTGACTAGATTTTCAACAAGCAGTTCTGCTCAGGGAATAGTCTATAAATGACTGAGCAATGAATCTTACCCTCATTTCCATCAGTATTTTCAAATATTTTTGTTCAACAATTTCAAAAACAGATAACCTTGGGTAATATTGTTAGTACAATACAATAAGGTTTTTAAAAATGTTTTAGAAAATGCCATTTTTGTTGGAACCTATATATATTTGTCTAGAACTGCCTGTCGGAGCTTTAGTAAAAATCTTAGAATATTATATATACTGGAGAAAAAGTGTTGTTAATCCTGAAAAAGTGTTCATTTAACCTTAGGCAGTAGGAAATCTTATAACTTCTGGTATCAGGAATAATCAGAAATGTCTTACCTACTGCTGAATGTCACAGGACACAATTCAGACTTATCTCGTGGAGATCATGTTGTAATAGCCTTATCCCAAACATTTAGTTTTCAGATCTCCAGTCTCCTTGAATCTCACTCTCCTGATTGGTTGCATTTAATAAGAAATCTTTTCAGCCTCGGTCTGTCCAGATAATGCCAAGCAAGAAGATGAAGCCTGGACAAGCAAGAGATACGAGGAAATGTTTTCTCTATAAATCTAAAATATAAATCAAATAATGAAGCCTTCCCAAAAGCAGAACCCTACCAAACATCATTTGGTCAAAATATTATTATTGAGCTAGAGAAATTAAAATTGATTTAAAAAACTGTGAGAAAAGAGGAGTTTTTTTTTTGGTTTGAGTAAAACAATGTCTATTTATGTATCTATATAGTAAGTAATATTTACACAATACATATATATTCATTAGGCACTCATAAAATGTGTGCTGATAATATCATTAATGCAAAATGGCATAATAAAATAATCTGTATTGGGAAAATACAAGTATTTCCTATGTTCATCAGATTTTGAGCCATTTAATTTAAATTAATGTTGAATAGCCACATACGTGATTTTCCAATTTTTGAAACAAAAATGTTATCAATAAATAATATAAATTGATCATTGGATTTCATGAGCTTATTATTCCTGTTTGAATAATTATGAAATAATTGAAACTTTCTAGAAAATTGGAATTTTTTATAATATCACCCTGATACTGCATCAGTTTCATATCATTATTTTCAAGTTCTATTAGCAATGCATTCAGGTTTTTATTGTAGGCCCTTTCCTCATTTATTGTACACACTCCTGTGGAGTAATACCATTCCTTTCAGCTTCGCCTTCAACTCAGTGTTATCTATGGTGTTTATTCTATATATCATACATTATAGATCTATACCTCTGACCTAATTGATTATCTTGCACTTTAGACTTACCTACTTGACTCCTGCCCGTATGTATGCATTTCATTATTACCCAGGCATCCCAAAATGAATATTCAAAACTCAAATAATATTTTTTCCCCAAATCTGCTTCTACATCTGTAACCTTACTTTACTCAAGGAAACAACCTCTGATATATCTGATATATGTTGATACAGGGAATTTTTTCAATGTCTATGTTTTTATTCCTAAATAATGTGTGTAACAAATATTATTCATCCTGCATTCCATCCTTAAAACCATAACTAGATTTTTAGACACTTTCATTTCTGCTTTCTATGTTATTTGAATTTTCACTAGGATGTACTATTATATATGTCATTTAAAAAGCCCGTTAGGAAAATGTACCATGCATAGCTCTGATATCCCTAACATAACTGTTATTAATCTACTTCATCATTTGCTGTGCAGTCTGGAATTAAGATGAAATAATCACATGGGTACTCAAATATTGCCCCTTATATTGTTCCTCAGTGAATCTAATTCAGGACATATGTAAAGTACCAGCAAATAAACAAATATTTAGCAAGCTATTGGTCTCTTCTCATAAAAGGAAAAGTGGTATGCAGAACAAAGCTAACAATAAAACAACTTACTAATAAATTAATGAATCACATTTACTGCAAATTTACTATGTAGCAAGCACTGATGTAAGCCCATTATATATATTTAACTCTCAAATAACTTAGTTGCTAAATGCACTGATTATTCCCATTT